>NC_000010.11:40928008-41117818 GCF_000001405.40 Homo sapiens | reverse complement strand
TTTTAATACGAAGATATATCCTTTTCTATCACTGTCTTCGAAGCGTTTGAAATCTGCACTAGCAAATTCCACAAAAAGAGTGTTTCAACTCTGCTCTCTCTAAAGAAGGGTTCAACTCTGTGAGTTGAATACACACAACACAAAGAAGTTACTGAGAATTCTTCTGTCTAGCGTTATATGAAGAAATCCCGTTTCCAACGAAGGCCTCAAAGAGGTCCAAATATCCACTTGCAGACTTTACAAATAGAGTGTTTCCGAACTGCTCTATGAAAAGAAAGGTTAAACTCTGTGAGTTGAAGGCACACATCACAAACTAGTTTCTACGAATGACTCTGTGTACTTTTAATATGAAGATATTTCCATGTCTAAGATTGGCGTCAAATCGCTTGAAATCTGCACTTGCAAATTCCACAAAAAGTGTCTTTCAAAACTGCTCTGAATAAAGGAAGGTTCCACTCTGTGAGTTGAATACACACAACACATAGGATTTACTGAGAATTCTTCTGTCTAGCATTATATGAAGAAATCCCGTTTCCAACGAAGGCCTCAATGAAGTCCAAAAAAGCACTTGCAGGCTTTACAGACAGAGTCTTTCCAAACTGCTCTATGAAGAGAAAGGTGAAACTCTGTGAACTGAACGCACAGATGACAAAGCAGTTTCTGAGAATGATTCTGTGTAGTTTTTACACGAAGATATTTCCATTTCAAAGATTAGCCTCAAATCGCTTGAAATCTCCACTTGCAAATTCCACAGAAAGAGGTTTTCAAAACTGCTCTGTGTAAAGGAAGGTTCAGCTCTGTGACTTGAATACACACAACACAAAGAAGTGACTGAGAATTCTTCTGTCTAGCATTATATGAGGAAATCCCGTTTCCAACGAAGGGCTCATAGAGGGACAATTATCCACCTGCAGACTTACAAAGAGTGCATTTCCAAACTGCTCGATTAAAGAAAGGTTAAACTCTGTGAGTTGAACACACACATCACAAAGTGTTTTCTGAGAATGATTTTGTCTAGTTTTAATACGAAGATATATCCTTTTCTATCACTGTCTTCGAAGCGTTTGAAATCTGCACTAGCAAATTCCACAGAAAGAGTGTTTCAACTCTGCTCTCTCTCAACAAAGGTTCAACTCTGTGAGTGGAATACACACAACACAAAGAAGTTACAGAGAATTCTTCTGTCTAACGTTATATGAAGAAATCCCGTTTCCAACGAAGGCCTCAAAGAGGTCCAAATATCCACTTGCAGACTTTACAAATAGAGTTTTTCCCAACTGCTCTATGAAAAGAAAGGTTAAACTCTGTGAGTTGAAGGCACACATCACAAACTAGTTTCTACGAATGACTCTGTGTACTTTTAATACGAAGATGTTTCCATGTCTAAGATTGGCGTGAATTCGCTTGAAATCTCCACTTGCAAATTCCACAAAAAGAGTGTTTCAAAACTGCTCTGAATAAAGGAAGGTTCCACTCTGTGAGTTGAATACACACAACACAAAGGATTTACTGAGAATTCTTCTGTCTAGCAGTAAATGAAAAAATCCCGCTTCCAACGAAGTCCTCAAAGGGGTCCAAGTAATCACTTGCAGACTTTACAGACAGAGTCTTTCCAAACTGCTCTATGAAAAGAAAGGTGGAACTCTGTGAGCTGAACGCACACATAACAAAGCAGTTTCTGACAATGATTCTGTGTAGTTTTTACACGAAGCTATTTCCATTTCAAAGATTAGCCTCAAATCGCTTGAAATCTCCACTTGCAAATTCCACAGAAAGAGTTTTTCAAAACTGCTCTGTGTAAAGGAAGGTTCAACTCTGTGACTTGAATACACACAACACAAAGAAGTGACTGAGAATTCTTCTGTCTAGCATTATAAGAGGAAATCCCGTTTCCAACGAAGGGCTCATAGAGGGACAATTATCCAGCTGCAGACTTACAAAGAGTGTATTTCCAAACTGCTCGATTAAAGAAAGGTTAAACTCTGTGAGTTGAACACACACATCACAAAGTGTTTTCTGAGAATGATTCTGTGTAGTTTTTATACGAAGATATTTCCTTTTCTGCCATAGGCCTAGAAGCGCTTGCAATCTGCACTTGCAAATTCCAAAAACAGAGTGTTTCAAATCTGCTCTATCCAAAGGAAGGTTCAAATCTGTGAGTTGAATACAAACAACACAAAGAAGTTACTGAGAGTTCTTCTGCCTAGCATTATATGAGGAAATCCCGTTTCCAACGAAGGGCTCATAGAGGGACAATTATCCAGCTGCAGACTTACAAAGAGTGTATTTCCAAACTGCTCGATTAAAGAAAGGTTAAACTCTGTGAGTTGAACACACACATCACAAAGTGTTTTCTGAGAATGATTCTGTGTACTTTTAATACGAAGATGTTTCCATGTCTAAGATTGGCGTGAATTCGCTTGAAATCTCCACTTGCAAATTCCACAAAAAGAGTGTTTCAAAACTGCTCTGAATAAAGGAAGGTTCCACTCTGTGAGTTGAATACACACAAAACAAAGGATTTACTGAGAATTCTTCTGTCTAGCAGTAAATGAAAAAATCCCGCTTCCAACGAAGTCCTCAAAGGGGTCCAAGTAATCACTTGCAGACTTTACAGACGGAGTCTTTCCAAACTGCTCTATGAAAAGAAAGGTGGAACTCTGTGAGCTGAACGCACACATAACAAAGCAGTTTCTGAGAATGATTCTGTGTAGTTTTTACACGAAGATATTTCCATTTCAAAGATTAGCCTCAAATCGCTTGAAATCTCCACTTGCAAATTCCACAGAAAGAGTTTTTCAAAACTGCTCTGTGTAAAGGAAGGTTCAACTCTGTGACTTGAATACACACAACACAAAGAAGTGACTGAGAATTCTTCTGTCTAGCATTATATGAAGAAATCCCGTTTCCAACGAAGGCCTCAATGAAGTCCAAAAAAGCACTTGCAGGCTTTACAAACAGAGTGTTTCCAAACTGCTCTATGAAAAGAAAGGTTAAACTCTGTGAGTTGAACGCACACATCACAAAGTAGTTGTTGAGAATGATTCTGTGTAGTTTTTATACGACAGATATTTCCTTTTCTGCCATAGGCCTAGAAGCGCTTGCAATCTGCACTTGCAAATTCCAAAAACGGAGTGTTTCAAATCTGCTCTCTCCAAAGGAAGGTTCAAATCTGTGAGTTGAATACAAACAACACAAAGAAGTTACTGAGAGTTCTTCTGTCTAGCATTATATGAGGAAATCCCGTTTCCAACGAAGGGCTCATAGTAGGGACAATTATCCAGCTGCAGACTTACAAAGAGTGTATTTCCAAACTGCTCGATTAAAGAAAGGTTAAACTCTGTGAGTTGAACACACACATCACAAAGTGTTTTCTGAGAATGATTTTGTCTAGTTTTAATACGAAGATATATCCTTTTCTATCACTGTCTTCGAAGCGTTTGAAATCTGCACTAGCAAATTCCACAAACAGAGTGTTTCAACTCTGCTCTCTCTCAAGAAAGGTTCAACTCTGTGAGTGGAATACACACAACACAAAGAAGTTACTGAGAATTCTTCTGTCTAGCGTTATATGAAGAAATCCCGTTTCCAACGAAGGCCTCAAAGTGGTCCAAATATCCACTTGCAGACTTTACAAATAGAGTGTTTCCAAACTGCTCTATGAAAAGAAAGGTTAAACTCTGTGAGTTGAAGGCACACATCACAAACTAGTTTCTGCGAATGACTCTGTGTACTTTTAATACGAAGATGTTTCCATGTCTAAGATTGGCGTGAATTCGCTTGAAATCTCCACTTGCAAATTCCACAAAAAGAGTGTTTCAAAACTGCTCTGAATAAAGGAAGGTTCCACTCTGTGAGTTGAATACACACAACACAAAGGATTTACTGAGAATTCTTCTGTCTAGCAGTAAATGAAAAAATCCCGCTTCCAACGAAGTCCTCAAAGGGGTCCAAGTAATCACTTGCAGACTTTACAGACAGAGTCTTTCCAAACTGCTCTATGAAAAGAAAGGTGGAACTCTGTGAGCTGAACGCACACATAACAAAGCAGTTTCTGAGAATGATTCTGTGTAGTTTTTACACGAAGATATTTCCATTTCAAAGATTAGCCTCAAATCGCTTGAAATCTCCACTTGCAGATTCCACAGAAAGAGTTTTTCAAAACTGCTCTGTGTAAAGGAAGGTTCAACTCTGTGACTTGAATACACACAACACAAAGAAGTGACTGAGAATTCTTCTGTCTAGCATTATATGAAGAAATCCCGTTTCCAACGAAGGCCTCAAAGAAGTCCAAATAAGCACCTGCAGACTTTACAAACAGAGTGTTTCCAAACTGCTCTATGACAAGAAAGGTTAAACTCTGTGAGCTGAACGCACACATCACAAAGTAGTTGTTGAGAATGATTCTGTGTAGTTTTTATACGAAGATATTTCCTTTTCTGCCATAGGCCTAGAAGCGCTTGCAATCTGCACTTGCAAATTCCAAAAACAGAGTGTTTCAAATCTGCTCTCTCCAAAGGAAGGTTCAAATCTGTGAGTTGAATACAAACAACACAAAGAAGTTACTGAGAATTCTTCTGTCTAGCGTTGTATGAAGAAATCCCGTTTCCAACGAAGGCCTCAAAGAGGTCCAAATATCCACTTGCAGACTTTACAAACAGAGTGTTTCCAAACTGCTCTATGAAAAGAAAATTTAAACTCTGTGAGTTGAAGGCACACATCACAAACTAGTTTCTACGAATGACTTCTGTGTACTTTTAATACGAAGATGTTTCCATGTCTAAGATTGGCGTGAATTCGCTTGAAATCTCCACTTGCAAATTCCACAAAAAGAGTGTTTCAAAAGTGCTCTGAATAAAGGAAGGTTCCACTCTGTGAGTTGAATACACACAACACAAAGGATTTACTGAGAATTCTTCTGTCTAGCAGTAAATGAGAAATCCCGCTTCCAACGAAGGCCTCAAAGGGGTCTAACTAATCACTTGCAGACTTTACAGACAGAGTCTTTCCAAACTGCTCTATGAAGAGAAAGGTGAAACTCTGTGAACTGAACGCACAGATGACAAAGCAGTTTCTGAGAATGATTCTGTGTAGTTTTTACACGAAGATATTTCCATTTCAAAGATTAGCCTCAAATCGCTTGAAATCTCCACTTGCAAATTCCACAGGAAGAGTTTTTCAAAACTGCTCTGTGTAAAGGAAGGTTCAACTCTGTGACTTGAATACACACAACACAAAGAAGTGACTGAGAATTCTTCTGTCTAGCATTATATGAGGAAATCCCGTTTCCAACGAAGGGCTCATAGAGGGACAATTATCCAGCTGCAGACTTACAAAGAGTGTATTTCCAAACTGCTCGATTAAAGAAAGGTTAAACTCTGTGAGTTGAACACACACATCACAAAGTGTTTTCTGAGAATGATTTTGTCTAGTTTTAATACGAAGATATATCCTTTTCTATCACTGTCTTCGAAGCGTTTGAAATCTGCACTAGCAAATTCCACAAACAGAGTGTTTCAACTCTGCTCTCTCTCAAGAAAGGTTCAACTCTGTGAGTTGAATACACACAACACAAAGAAGTTACTGAGAATTCTTCTGTCTAGCATTATATGAGGAAATCCCGTTTCCAACGAAGGCCTCAAAGAGGTCCAAATATCCACTTGCAGACTTTACAAATAGAGTGTTTCCAAACTGCTCTATGAAAAGAAAGGTTAAACTCTGTGAGTTGAAGGCACACATCACAAACTAGTTTCTACGAATGACTCTGTGTACTTTTAATACGAAGATGTTTCCATGTCTAAGATTGGCGTGAATTCGCTTGAAATCTCCACTTGCAAATTCCACAAAAAGAGTGTTTCAAAACTGCTCTGAATAAAGGAAGGTTCCACTCTGTGAGTTGAATACACACAACACAAAGGATTTACTGAGAATTCTTCTGTCTAGCAGTAAATGAGAAATCCCGCTTCCAACGAAGGCCTCAAAGGGGTCTAACTAATCACTTGCAGACTTTACAGACAGAGTCTTTCCAAACTGCTCTATGAAGAGAAAGGTGAAACTCTGTGAACTGAACGCACAGATGACAAAGCAGTTTCTGAGAATGATTTCTGTGTAGTTTTTACACGAAGATGTTTCCATTTCAATGGTTGGCCTCAAATTGCTTGAAATCTCCACTTGCAAATTCCACAGAAAGAGTTTTTCAAAACTGCTCTGTCTAAAGGAAGGTTCAACTCTGTGACTTGAATACACACAACACAAAGAAGTGACTGAGAATTCTTCTGTCTGGCATTATATGAAGAAATCCCGTTTCCACCGAAGGCCTCAAAGAAGTCCAAATAAGCACCTGCAGACTTTACAAACAGGGTGTTTCCAAACTGCTCTATGAAAAGAAAGGTTAAACTCTGTGAGTTGAACGCACACATCACAAAGTAGTTGTTGAGAATGATTCTGTGTAGTTTTTATACGAAGATATTTCCTTTTCTGCCATAGGCCTAGAAGCGCTTGAAATCTGCACTTGCAAATTCCAAAAACAGAGTGTTTCAACTCTGCTCTCTATCAAGAAAGGTTCAACTCTGTGAGTGGAATACACACAACACAAAGAAGTTACAGAGAATTCTTCTGTGTAGCGTTATATGAAGAAATCCCGTTTCCAACGAAGGCCTCACAGAGGTCCAAATATCCACTTGCAGACTTTACAAATAGAGTGTTTCCAAACTGCTCTATGAAAAGAAAGCTTAAACTCTGTGAGTTGAAGGCACACATCACAAACTAGTTTCTGCGAATGACTCTGTGTACTTTTAATACGAAGATGTTTCCATGTCTAAGATTGGCGTGAATTCGCTTGAAATCTCCACTTGCAAATTCCACAAAAAGAGTGTTTCAAAACTGCTCTGAATAAAGGAAGGTTCCACTCTGTGAGTTGAATACACACAACACGAAGGATTTACTGAGAATTCTTCTGTCTAGCAGTAAATGAAAAAATCCCGCTTCCAACGAAGTCCTCAAAGGGGTCCAAGTAATCACTTGCAGACTTTACAGACAGAGTCTTTCCAAACTGCTCTATGAAAAGAAAGGTGGAACTCTGTGAGCTGAACGCACACATAACAAAGCAGTTTCTGAGAATGATTCTGTGTAGTTTTTACACGAAGATATTTCCATTTCAAAGATTAGCCTCAAATCGCTTGAAATCTCCACTTGCAAACTCCACAGAAAGAATTTTTCAAAACTGCTCTGTCTAAAGGAAGGTTCAACTCTGTGACTTGAATACACACAACACAAAGAAGTGACTGAGAATTCTTCTGTCTAGCATTATATGAAGAAATCCCGTTTCCAACGAAGGCCTCAATGAAGTCCAAAAAAGCACTTGCAGGCTTTACAAACAGAGTGTTTCCAAACTGCTCTATGAAAAGAAAGGTTAAACTCTGTGAGTTGAACGCACACATCACAAAGTAGTTGTTGAGAATGATTCTGTGTAGTTTTTATACGAAGATATTTCCTTTTCTGCCATAGGCCTAGAAGCGCTTGAAATCTGAACTTGCAAATTCCAAAAACAGAGTGTTTCAACTCTGCTCTCTCTAAAGAAAGGTTCAACTCTGTGAGTTGAATACACACAACACAAAGAAGTTACTGAGAATTCTTCTGTCTAGCGTTGTATGAAGAAATCCCGTTTCCAACGAAGGCCTCAAAGAAGTCCAAAAAAGCACTTGCAGGCTTTACAAACAGAGTGTTTCCAAACTGCTCTATGAAAAGAAAGGTTAAACTCTGTGAGTTGAACACACACATCACAAAGAGTTTTCTGAGAATGATTTTGTCTACTTTTAATACGAAGATATATCCTTTTCTATCACTGTCTTCGAAGCGTTTGAAATCTACACTAGCAAATTCCACAAAAAGAGTGTTTCACCTCTGCTCCCTCTAAAGAAAGGTTCAACTCTGTGAGTTGAATAACACAACACAAAGAAGTTACTGAGAATTCTTCTGTGTAGTTTTTATACGAAGATATTTCCTTTTCTGCCATAGGCCTAGAATCGCTTGAAATCTGCACTTGCAAATTCCAAAAACAGAGTGTTTCAACTCTACTCTCTCTAAAGAAAGGTTCAACTCTGTGAGTTGAAGGCACACATCACAAACTAGTTTCTACGAATGACGCTGTGTACTTTTAATATGAAGATATTTCCATGTCTAAGATTGGCGTCAAATCGCTTGAAATCTCCACTTGCAAATTCCACAAAAAGTGTTTTTCAAAACTGCTCTGAATAAAGGAAGGTTCCACTCTGTGAGTTGAATACACACAACACAAAGGATTTACTGAGAATTCTTCTGTCTAGCAGTAAATGAGAAATCCCGCTTCCAACGAAGGCCTCAAAGGGTTCTAACTAATCACTTGCAGACTTTACAGACAGAGTCTTTCCAAACTGCTCTATGAAGAGAAAGGTGAAACTCTGTGAACTGAACGCACAGATGACAAAGCAGTTTCTGAGAATGATTCTGTGTAGTTTTTACACGAAGCTATTTCCATTTCAAAGATTAGCCTCAAATCGCTTGAAATCTCCACTTGCAAATTCCACAGAAAGAGTTTTTCAAAACTGCTCTGTGTAAAGGAAGGTTCAACTCTGTGACTTGAATCCACACAACACAAAGAAGTGACTGAGAATTCCTCTGTCTAGCATTATATGAAGAAATCCCGTTTCCAACGAAGGCCTCAATGAAGTCCAAAAAAGCACTTGCAGGCTTTACTAACAGAGTGTTTCCAAACTGCTCTATGAAAAGAAAGGTTAAACTCTGTGAGTTTAACGCACACATCACAAAGTAGTTGTTGAGAATGATTCTGTGTAGTTTTTATACGAAGATATTTCCTTTTCTGCAATAGTCCTAGAAGCGCTTGAAATCTGCACTTGCAAATTCCAAAAACAGAGTGTTTCAAATCTGCTCTCTCTAAAGGAAGGTTCAAATCTGTGAGTTGAATACAAACAACACAAAGAAGTTACTGAGAATTCTTCTGTCTAGCGTTATATGAAGAAATCCCTTTTCCAACGAAGGCCTCAAAGAGGTCCAAATATCCACTTGCAGACTTTACAAATAGAATGTTTCCGAACTGCTCTATGAAAAGAAAGGTTAAACTCTGTGAGTTGAAGGCACACATCACAAACTAGTTTCTACGAATGATTCTGTGTACTTTTAATACGAAGATGTTTCCATGTCTAAGATTGGCGTGAATTCGCTTGAAATCTCCACTTGCAAATTCCACAAAAAGAGTGTTTCAAAACTGCTCTGAATAAAGGAAGGTTCCACTCTGTGAGTTGAATACACACAACACAAAGGATTTACTGAGAATTCTTCTTTCTAGCAGTAAATGAAAAAATCCCGCTTCCAACGAAGTCCTCAAAGGGGTCCAAGTAATCACTTGCAGACTTTACAGACAGAGTCTTTCCAAACTGCTCTATGAAAAGAAAGATGGAACTCTGTGAGCTGAACGCACACATAACAAAGCAGTTTCTGAGAATGATTCTGTGTAGTTTTTACACGAAGATATTTCCATTTCAAAGATTAGCCTCAAATCGCTTGAAATCTCCACTTGCAAATTCCACAGAAAGAGTTTTTCAAAACTGCTCTGTGTAAAGGAAGGTTCAACTCTGTGACTTGAATACACACAACACAAAGAAGTGACTGAGAATTCTTCTGTCTAGCATTATATGAAGAAATCCCGTTTCCAACGAAGGCCTCAAAGAAGTCCAAATAAGCACCTGCAGACTTTACAAACAGAGTGTTTCCAAACTGCTCTATGAAAAGAAAGGTTAAACTCTGTGAGTTGAACGCACACATCACAAAGTAGTTGTTGAGAATGATTCTGTGTAGTTTTTATACGAAGATATTTCCTTTTCTGCCATAGGCCTAGAAGCGCTTGCAATCTGCACTTGCAAATTCCAAAACCAGAGTGTTTCAAATCTGCTCTCTCTAAAGGAAGGTTCAAATCTGTGAGTTGAATACAAACAACACAAAGAAGTTACTGAGAATTCTTCTGTCTAGCATTATATGAGGAAATCCCGTTTCCAACGAAGGGCTCATAGAGGGACAATTATCCACCTGCAGACTTACAAAGAGTGTATTTCCAAACTGCTCGATTAAAGAAAGGTTAAACTCTGTGAGTTGAACACACACATCACAAAGTGTTTTCTGAGAATGATTTTGTCTAGTTTTAATACGAAGATATATCCTTTTCTATCACTGTCTTCGAAGCGTTTGAAATCTGCACTAGCAAATTCCACAGAAAGAGTGTTTCAAATCTGCTCTCTCTCAAGAAAGGTTCAACTCTGTGAGTGGAATACACACAACACAAGGAAGTTACAGAGAATTCTTCTGTCTAGCGTTATATGAAGAAATCCCGTTTCCAACGAAGGCCTCAAAGAGGTCCAAATATCCACTTGCAGACTTTACAAATAGAGTGTTTCCAAACTGCTCTATGAAAAGAAAGGTTAAACTCCGTGAGTTGAAGGCACACATCACAAACTAGTTTCTGCGAATGACTCTGTGTACTTTTAATACGAAGATGTTTCCATGTCTAAGATTGGCGTGAATTCGCTTGAAATCTCCACTTGCAAATTCCACAAAAAGAGTGTTTCAAAACTGCTCTGAATAAAGGAAGGTTCCACTCTGTGAGTTGAATACACACAACACAAAGGATTTACTGAGAATTCTTCTGTCTAGCAGTAAATGAAAAAATCCCGCTTCCAACGAAGTCCTCAAAGGGGTCCAAGTAATCACTTGCAGACTTTACAGACAGAGTCTTTCCAAACTGCTCTATGAAAAGAAAGGTGGAACTCTGTGAGCTGAACGCACACATAACAAAGCAGTTTCTGACAATGATTCTGTGTAGTTTTTACACGAAGCTATTTCCATTTCAAAGATTAGCCTCAAATCGCTTGAAATCTCCACTTGCAAATTCCACAGAAAGAGTTTTTCAAAACTGCTCTGTGTAAAGGAAGGTTCAACTCTGTGACTTGAATACACACAACACAAAGAAGTGACTGAGAATTCTTCTGTCTAGCATTATATGAGGAAATCCCGTTTCCAACGAAGGGCTCATAGAGGGACAATTATCCACCTGCAGACTTACAAAGAGTGTATTTCCAAACTGCTCGATTAAAGAAAGGTTAAATTCTGTGAGTTGAACACACACATCACAAAGTGTTTTCTGAGAATGATTTTGTCTAGTTTTAATACGAAGATATATCCTTTTCTATCACTGTCTTCGAAGCGTTTGAAATCTGCACTAGCAAATTCCACAAAAAGAGTGTTTCCACTCTGCTCTCTCTCAAGAAAGGTTCAACTCTGTGACTTGAATACACACAACACAAAGAAGTTACTGAGAATTCTTCTGTCTAGCGTTATATGAAGAAATCCCGTTTCCAACGAAGGCCTCAAAGAGGTCCAAATATCCACTTGCAAACTTTAGAAATAGAGTGTTTCTAAACTGCTCTATGAAAAGAAAGGTTAAACTCTGTGAGTTGAAGGCACACTTCACAAACTAGTTTCTAAGAATGACTCTGTGTACTTTTAATACGAAGATGTTTCCATGTCTAAGATTGGCGTGAATTCGCTTGAAATCTCCACTTGCAAATTCCACAAAAAGAGTGTTTCAAAACTGCTCTGAATAAAGGAAGGTTCCACTCTGTGAGTTGAATACACACAACACAAAGGATTTACTGAGAATTCTTCTGTCTAGCAGTAAATGGGAAATCCCGCTTCCAACGAAGGCCTCAAAGGGGTCTAACTAATCACTTGCGGACTTAACAGACAGAGTCTTTCCAAACTGCTCTCTGAAGAGAAAGGTTAAACTCTGTGAACTGAACGCACATATAACAAAGCAGTTTCTGAGAATGATTCTGTGTAGTTTTTACACGAAGATATTTCCATTTCAAAGATTAGCCTCAAATCTCTTAAAATCTCCAATTGCAAATTCCACAGAAAGAATTTTTCAAAACTGCTCTGTCTAAAAGAAGGTTCAACTCTGTGACTTGAATACACACAACACAAAGAAGTGACTGAGAATTCTTCTGTCTAGCATTATATGAAGAAATCCCGTTTCCAACGAAGGCCTCAATGAAGTCCAAAAAAGCACTTGCAGGCTTTACAAACAGAGTGTTTCCAAACTGCTCTATGAAAAGAAAGGTTAAACTCTGGGAGTTGAACGCACACATCACAAAGTAGTTGTTGAGAATGATTCTGTGTAGTTTTTATACGAAGATATTTCCTTTTCTGCCATAGGCCTAGAAGCGCTTGAAATCTGCACTTGCAAATTCCAAAAACAGAGTGTTTCAAATCTGCTCTCTCTAAAGGAAGGTTCAAATCTGTGAGTTGAATACAAACAACACAAAGAAGTTACTGAGAATTCTTCTGTCTAGCATTATATGAGGAAATCCCGTTTCCAACGAAGGGCTCAAAGAGGGCCAATTATCCACCTGCAGACTTACAAAGAGTGTATTTCCAAACTGCTCGATTAAAGAAAGGTTAAACTCTGTGAGTTGAACACACACATCACAAAGTGTTTTCTGAGAATGATTTTGTCTAGTTTTAATACGAAGATATATCCTTTTCTATCACTGTCTTCGAAGCGTTTGAAATCTACACTAGCAAATTCCACAAGAAGAGTGTTTCAACTCTGCTCTCTCTAAAGAAAGGTTCAACTCGGTGAGTTGAATACACACAACACAAAGAAGTTACTGAGAATTCTTCTGTCTAGCGTTATATGAAGAAATCCCTTTTCCAACGATGGCCTCAAAGAGGTCCAAATATCCACTTGCAGACTTTACAAATAGAGTGTTTCCGAACTGCTCTATGAAAAGAAAGGTTAAACTCTGTGAGTTGAAGGCACACATCACAAACTAGTTTCTACGAATGATTCTGTGTACTTTTAATATGAAGATATTTCCATGTCTAAGATTGGCGTCAAATCGCTTGAAATCTCCACTTGCAAATTCCACAAAAAGAGTGTTTCAAAACTGCTCTGAATAAAGGAAGGTTCCACTCTGTGAGTTGAATAAACGCAACACAAATGATTTACTGAGAATTCTTCTGTCTAGCATTATATGAAGAAATCCCGTTTCCAACGAAGGCCTCAATGAAGTCCAAAAAAGCACTTGCAGGCTTTACAAACAGCGTGTTTCCAAACTGCTCTATGAAAAGAAAGGTTAAACTTTGTGAGTTGAACGCACACATCACAAAGTAGTTGTTGAGAATGATTCTGTGTAGTTTTTATACGAAGATATTTCCTTTTCTGCCATAGGCCTAGAAGCGCTTGTAATCTGCACTTGCAAATTCCAAAAACAGAGTGTTTCAAATCTGCTCTCTCTAAAGGAAGGTTCAAATCTGTGAGTTGAATACAAACAACACAAAGAAGTTACTGAGAATTCTTCTGTCTAGCGTTATATGAAGAAATCCCGTTTCCAACGAAGGCCTCAAAGAGGTCCAAATATCCACTTACAGACTTTACAGATAGAGTGTTTCCAAACTGCTCTATGAAAAGAAAGGTTAAACTCCGTGAGTTGAAGGCACACATCACAAACTAGTTTCTGCGAATGACTCTGTGTACTTTTAATACGAAGATGTTTCCATGTCTAAGATTGGCGTGAATTCGCTTGAAATCTCCACTTGCAAATTCCACAAAAAGAGCGTTTCAAAAGTGCTCTGAATAAAGGAAGGTTCCACTCTGTGAGTTGAATACACACAACACAAAGGATTTACTGAGAATTCTTCTGTCTAGCAGTAAATGAAAAAATCCCGCTTCCAACGAAGTCCTCAAAGGGGTCCAAGTAATCACTTGCAGACTTTACAGACAGAGTCTTTCCAAACTGCTCTATGAAAAGAAAGGTGGAACTCTGTGAGCTGAACGCACACATAACAAAGCAGTTTCTGAGAATGATTCTGTGTAGTTTTTACACGAAGATATTTCCATTTCAAAGATTAGCCTCAAATCGCTTGAAATCTCCACTTGCAAATTCCACAGAAAGAGTGTTTCAAAACTGCTCTGAATAAAGGAAGGTTCAACTCTGTGAGTTGAATACACACAAAACAAAGGATTTAATGAGAATTCTTCTGTCTAGCATTATAAGAGGAAATCCCGTTTCCAACGAAGGGCTCCTAGAGGGACAATTATCCAGCTGCAGACTTACAAAGAGTGTATTTCCAAACTGCTCGATTAAAGAAAGGTTAAACTCTGTGAGTTGAACACACACATCACAAAGTGTTTTCTGAGAATGATTTTGTCTAGTTTTAATACGAAGATATATCCTTTTCTATCACTGTCTTCGAAGCGTTTGAAATCTGCACTAGCAAATTCCACAAACAGAGTGTTTCAACTCGGCTCTCTCTCAAGAAAGGTTCAACTCTGTGAGTAGAATACACACAACACAAAGAAGTTACTGAGAATTCTTCTGTCTAGCGTTATATGAAGAAATCCCGTTTCCAACGAAGGCCTCAAAGAGGTCCAAATATCCACTTGCAGACTTTACAAATAGAGTGTTTCCAAACTGCTCTATGAAAAGAAAGGTTAAACTCCGTGAGTTGAAGGCACACATCACAAACTAGTTTCTGCGAATGACTCTGTGTACTTTTAATACGAAGATGTTTCCATGTCTAAGATTGGCGTGAATTCGCTTGAAATCTCCACTTGCAAATTCCACAAAAAGAGTGTTTCAAAACTGCTCTGAATAAAGGAAGGTTCCACTCTGTGAGTTGAATACACACAACACAAAGGATTTACTGAGAATTCTTATGTCTAGCAGTAAATGAAAAAATCCCGCTTCCAACGAAGTCCTCAAAGGGGTCCAAGTAATCACTTGCAGACTTTACAGACAGAGTCTTTCCAAACTGCTCTATGAAAAGAAAGGTGGAACTCTGTGAGCTGAACGCACACATAACAAAGCAGTTTCTGAGAATGATTCTGTGTAGTTTTTACACGAAGATATTTCCATTTCAAAGATTAGCCTCAAATCGCTTGAAATCTCCACTTGCAAATTCCACAGAAAGAGTTTTTCAAAACTGCTCTGTGTAAAGGAAGGTTCAACTCTGTGACTTGAATACACACAACACAAAGAAGTGACTGAGAATTCTTCTGTCTAGCATTATAAGAGGAAATCCCGTTTCCAACGAAGGGCTCATAGAGGGACAATTATCCAGCTGCAGACTTACAAAGAGTGTATTTCCAAACTGCTCGATTAAAGAAAGGTTAAACTCTGTGAGTTGAACACACACATCACAAAGTGTTTTCTGAGAATGATTTTGTCTAGTTTTAATACGAAGATATATCCTTTTCTATCACTGTCTTCGAAGCGTTTGAAATCTGCACTAGCAAATTCCACAAACAGAGTGTTTCAACTCTGCTCTCTCTCAAGAAAGGTTCAACTCTGTGAGTGGAATACACACAACACAAAGAAGTTACTGAGAATTCTTCTGTCTAGCGTTATATGAAGAAATCCCGTTTCCAACGAAGGCCTCAAAGAGGTCCAAATATCCACTTGCAGACTTTACAAATAGAGTGTTTCCAAACTGCTCTATGAAAAGAAAGGTTAAACTCCGTGAGTTGAAGGCACACATCACAAACTAGTTTCTGCGAATGACTCTGTGTACTTTTAATACGAAGATGTTTCCATGTCTAAGATTGGCGTGAATTCGCTTGAAATCTCCACTTGCAAATTCCACCAAAAGAGTGTTTCAAAACTGCTCTGAATAAAGGAAGGTTCCACTCTGTGAGTTGAATACACACAACACAAAGGATTTACTGAGAATTCTTCTGTCTAGCAGTAAATGAAAAAATCCCGCTTCCAACGAAGTCCTCAAAGGGGTCCAAGTAATCACTTGCAGACTTTACAGACAGAGTCTTTCCAAACTGCTCTATGAAAAGAAAGGTGGAACTCTGTGAGCTGAACGCACACATAACAAAGCAGTTTCTGACAATGATTCTGTGTAGTTTTTACACGAAGATATTTCCATTTCAAAGATTAGCCTCAAATCGCTTGAAATCTCCACTTGCAAATTCCACAGAAAGAGTTTTTCAAAACTGCTCTGTGTAAAGGAAGGTTCAACTCTGTGACTTGAATACACACAACACAAAGAAGTGACTGAGAATTCTTCTGTCTAGCATTATAAGAGGAAATCCCGTTTCCAAAGAAGGGCTCAAAGAGGGCCAAATATCCACCTGCAGACTTACAAAGAGTGTATTTCCAAACTGCTCGATTAAAGAAAGGTTAAACTCTGTGAGTTGAACACACACATCACAAAGAGTTTTCTGAGAATGATTTTGTCGACTTTTACTACGAAGATATATCCTTTTCTATCACTGACTTCGAAGCGTTTGAAATCTACACTAGCAAATTCCACAAAAAGACTGTTTCACCTCTGCTCCCTATAAAGAAAGGTTCAACTCTGTGAGTTGAATACACACAACACAAAGAAGTTACTGAGAATTCTTCTGTCTAGCGTTATATGAAGAAATCCCGTTTCCAACGAAGGCCTCAAAGAGGTCCAAATATCCACTTGCAGACTTTACAAATAGAGTGTTTCCCAACTGCTCTATGAAAAGAAAGGTTAAACTCTGTGAGTTGAAGGCACACATCACAAACTAGTTTCTACGAATGACTCTGTGTACTTTTAATATGAAGATATTTCCATGTCTAAGATTGGCGTCAAATCGCTTGAAATCTCCACTTGCAAATTCCACAAAAAGACTGTTTCAAAACTGCTCTGAATAAAGGAAGGTTCCACTCTGTGAGTTGAATACACACAACACAAAGGATTTACTGAGAATTCTTCTGTCTAGCAGTAAATGAGAAATCCCGCTTCCAACGAAGGCCTCAAAGGGGTCTAACTAATCACTTGCAGACTTTACAGACAGAGTCTTTCCAAACTGCTCTATGAAGAGAAAGGTGAAACTCTGTGAACTGAACGCACAGATGACAAAGCAGTTTCTGAGAATGATTCTGTGTAGTTTTTACACGAAGATATTTCCATTTCAAAGATTAGCCTCAAATCGCTTGAAATCTCCACTTGCAAATTCCACAGAAAGAGTTTTTCAAAACTGCTCTGTGTAAAGGAAGGTTCAACTCTGTGACTTGAATACACACAACACAAAGAAGTGACTGAGAATTCTTCTGTCTAGCATTATAAGAGGAAATCCCGTTTCCAACGAAGGGCTCATAGAGGGACAATTATCCAGCTGCAGACTTACAAAGAGTGTATTTCCAAACTGCTCGATTAAAGAAAGGTTAAACTCTGTGAGTTGAACACACACATCACAAAGTGTTTTCCGAGAATGATTTTGTCTAGTTTTAATACGAAGATATATCCTTTTCTATCACTGTCTTCGAAGCGTTTGAAATCTGCACTAGCAAATTCCACAGAAAGAGTGTTTCAACTCTGCTCTCTCTCAAGAAAGGTTCAACTCTGTGAGTAGAATACACACAACACAAAGAAGTTACTGAGAATTCTTCTGTCTAGCGTTATATGAAGAAATCCCGTTTCCAACGAAGGCCTCAAAGAGGTCCAAATATCCACTTGCAGACTTTACAAATAGAGTGTTTCCAAACTGCTCTATGAAAAGAAAGGTTAAACTCCGTGAGTTGAAGGCACACATCACAAACTAGTTTCTGCGAATGACTCTGTGTACTTTTAATACGAAGATGTTTCCATGTCTAAGATTGGCGTGAATTCGCTTGAAATCTCCACTTGCAAATTCCACAAAAAGAGTGTTTCAAAAGTGCTCTGAACAAAGGAAGGTTCCACTCTGTGAGTTGAATACACACAACACAAAGGATTTACTGAGAATTCTTCTGTCTAGCAGTAAATGAAAAAATCCCGCTTCCAACGAAGTCCTCAAAGGGGTCCAAGTAATCACTTGCAGACTTTACAGACAGAGTCTTTCCAAACTGCTCTATGAAAAGAAAGGTGGAACTCTGTGAGCTGAACGCACACATAACAAAGCAGTTTCTGAGAATGATTCTGTGTAGTTTTTACACGAAGCTATTTCCATTTCAAAGATTAGCCTCAAATCGCTTGAAATCTCCACTTGCAAATTCCACAGAAAGAGTTTTTCAAAACTGCTCTGTGTAAAGGAAAGTTCAACTCTGTGACTTGAATACACACAACACAAAGAAGTGACTGAGAATTCTTCTGTCTAGCATTACATGAATAAATCCCGTTTCCAACGAAGGCCTCAAAGAAGTCCAAATAAGCACCTGCAGACTTTACAAACAGAGTGTTTCCAAACTGCTCTATGAAAAGAAAGGTTAAACTCTGTGAGTTGAACGCACACATCACAAAGTAGTTGTCGAGAATGATTCTGTGTAGTTTTTATACGAAGATATTTCCTTTTCTGCCATAGGCCTAGAAGTGCTTGAAATCTGCACTTGCAAATTCCAAAAACAGAGTGTTTCAAATCTGCTCTCTCTAAAGGAAGGTTCAAATCTGTGAGTTGAATACAAACAACACAAAGAAGTTACTGAGAATTCTTCTGTCTAGCATTATAAGAGGAAATCCCGTTTCCAAAGAAGGGCTCAAAGAGGGCCAAATATCCACCTGCAGACTTACAAAGAGTGTATTTCCAAACTGCTCGATTAAAGAAAGGTTAAACTCTGTGAGTTGAACACACACATCACAAAGAGTTTTCTGAGAATGATTTTGTCTACTTTTAATACGAAGATATATCCTTTTCTATCACTGTCTTCGAAGCGTTTGAAATCTACACTAGCAAATTCCACAAAAAGAGTGTTTCACCTCTGCTCCCTCTAAAGAAAGGTTCAACTCTGTGAGTTGAATACACACAACACAAAGAAGTTACTGAGAATTCTTCTGTCTAGTGTTGAATGAAGAAATCCCATTTCCAACGAAGGCCTCAAAGAGGTCCAAATATCCACTTGCAGACATTACAAATAGAGTGTTTCCCAACTGCTCTATGAAAAGAAAGGTTAAACTCTGTGAGTTGAAGGCACACATCACAAACTAGTTTCTACGAATGACTCTGTGTACTTTTAATATGAAGATATTTCCATGTCTAAGATTGGCGTCAAATCGCTTGAAATCTCCACTTGCAAATTCCACAAAAAGAGTGTTTCAAAACTGCTCTGAATAAAGGAAGGTTCCACTCTGTGAGTTGAATACACACAACACAAAGGATTTACTGAGAATTCTTCTGTCTAGCAGTAAATGAAAAAATCCCGCTTCCAACGAAGTCCTCAAAGGGGTCCAAGTAATCACTTGCAGACTTTACAGACAGAGTCTTTCCAAACTGCTCTATGAAAAGAAAGGTGGAACTCTGTGAGCTGAACGCACACATAACAAAGCAGTTTCTGAGAATGATTCTGTGTAGTTTTTACACGAAGCTATTTCCATTTCAAAGATTAGCCTCAAATCGCTTGAAATCTCCACTTGCAAATTCCACAGAAAGAGTTTTTCAAAACTGCTCTGTGTAAAGGAAGGTTCAACTCTGTGACTTGAATACACACAACACAAAGAAGTGACTGAGAATTCTTCTGTCTAGCATTATATGAGGAAATCCCGTTTCCAATGAAGGGCTCAAAGAGGGCCAATTATCCACCTGCAGACTTACAAAGAGTGTATTTCCAAACTGCTCGATTAAAGAAACGTTAAACTCTGTGAGTTGAACACACACATCACAAAGTGTTTTCTGAGAATGATTTTGTCTAGTTTTAATACGAAGATATATCCTTTTCTATCACAGTCTTCGAAGCGTTTGAAATCTGCACTAGCAAATTCCACAAAAAGAGTGTTTCAACTCTGATCTCTCTCAAGAAAGGTTCAACTCTGTGAGTTGAATACACACAACACAAAGAAGTTACTGAGAATTCTTCTGTCTAGCGTTATATGAAGAAATCCCGTTTCCAACGAAGGCCTCAAAGAGGTCCAAATATCCACTTGCAGACTTTACAAATAGAGTGTTTCCCAACTGCTCTATGAAAAGAAAGGTTAAACTCTGTGAGTTGAAGGCACACATCACAAACTAGTTTCTACGAATGACTCTGTGTACTTTTAATATGAAGACATTTCCATGTCTAAGATTGGCATCAAATCGCTTGAAATCTCCACTTGCAAATTCCACAAAAAGTGTTTTTCAAAACTGCTCTGAATAAAGGAAGGTTCCACTCTGTGAGTTGAATACACACAACACAAAGGATTTACTGAGAATTCTTTCTGTCTAGCAGTAAATGAAAAAATCCCGCTTCCAACGAAGTCCTCAAAGGGGTCCAAGTAATCACTTGCAGACTTTACAGACAGAGTCTTTCCAAACTGCTCTATGAAAAGAAAGGTGGAACTCTGTGAGCTGAACGCACACATAACAAAGCAGTTTCTGAGAATGATTCTGTGTAGTTTTTACACGAAGATATTTCCATTTCAAAGATTAGCCTCAAATCGCTTGAAATCTCCACTTGCAAATTACACAGAAAGAGTTTTTCAAAACTGCTCTGTCTAAAGGAAGGTTCAACTCTGTGACTTGAATACACACAACACAAAGAAGTGACTGAGAATTCTTCTGTCTAGCATTATATGAAGAAATCCCGTTTCCAACGAAGGCCTCAAAGAAGTCCAAATAAGCACCTGCAGACTTACAAACAGAGTGTTTCCAAACTGCTCTATGAAAAGAAAGGTTAAACTCTGTGAGTTGAACGCGCACATCACAAAGTAGTTTTTGAGAATGATTCTGTGTAGTTTTTATACGAAGATATTCCCTTTTCTGCCATACGCCTAGAAGAGCTTGAAACCTGCACTTGCAAATTCCAAAAAAAGAGTGTTTGCAATCTGCCCTCTCTAAAGGAAGGTTCAAATCTGTGCGTTGAATACAAACAACACAAAGAAGTTACTGAGAATTCTTCTGTCTAGCGTTATATGAAGAAATCCCGTTTCCAACGAAGGCCTCAAAGAGGTCCAAATATCCACTTGCAGACTTTACAAATAGAGTGTTTCCAAACTGCTCTATGAAAAGAAAGGTTAAACTCCGTGAGCTGAAGGCACACATCACAAACTAGTTTCTGCGAATGACTCTGTGTACTTTTAATACGAAGATGTTTCCATGTCTAAGATTGGCGTGAATTCGCTTGAAATCTCCACTTGCAAATTCCACAAAAAGAGTGTTTCAAAACTGCTCTGAATAAAGGAAGGTTCCACTCTGTGAGTTGAATACACACAACACAAAGGATTTACTGAGAATTCTTCTGTCTAGCAGTAAATGAGAAATCCCGCTTCCAACGAAGGCCTCAAAGGGGTCTAACTAATCACTTGCAGACTTTAAAGACAGAGTCTTTCCAAACTGCTCTATGAAGAGAAAGGTGAAACTCTGTGAACTGAACGCACAGATGACAAAGCAGTTTCTGAGAATGCTTCTGTGTAGTTTTTACACGAAGCTATTTCCATTTCAAAGATTAGCCTCAAATCGCTTGAAATCTCCACTTGCAAATTCCACAGAAAGAGTTTTTCAAAACTGCTCTGTGTAAAGGAAGGTTCAACTCTGTGACTTGAATACACACAACACAAAGAAGTGACTGAGAATTCTTCTGTCTAGCATTATAAGAGGAAATCCCGTTTCCAACGAAGGGCTCATAGAGGGACAATTATCCAGCTGCAGACTTACAAAGAGTGTTTTTCGAAACTGCTCGATTAAAGAAAGGTTAAACTCTGTGAGTTGAACACACACATCACAAAGTGTTTTCTGAGAATGATTTTGTCTAGTTTTAATACGAAGATATATCCTTTTCTATCACTGTCTTCGAAGCGTTTGAAATCTGCACTAGGAAATTCCACAGAAAGAGTGTTTCAACTCTGCTCTCTCTCAAGAAAGGTTCAACTCTGTGAGTTGAATACACACAACACAAAGAAGTTACTGAGAATTCTTCTGTCTAGCGTTATATGAAGAAATCCCGTTTCCAACGAAGGCCTCAAAGAGGTCCAAATATCCACTTGCAGACTTTACAAATAGAGTGTTTCCAAACTGCTCTATGAAAAGAAAGGTTAAACTCCGTGAGTTGAAGGCACACATTACAAGCTAGTTTCTGCGAATGACTCTGTGTACTTTTAATACGAAGTTGTTTCCATGTCTAAGATTGGCGTGAATTCGCTTGAAATCTCCACTTGCAAATTCCACAAAAAGAGTGTTTCAAAACTGCTCTGAATAAAGGAAGGTTCCACTCTGTGAGTTGAATACACACAACATAAAGGATTTACTGAGAATTCTTCTGTCTAGCAGTAAATGAAAAAATCCCGCTTCCAACGAAGTCCTCAAAGGGGTCCAAGTAATCACTTGCAGACTTTACAGACAGAGTCTTTCCAAACTGCTCTATGAAAAGAAAGGTGGAACTCTGTGAGCTGAACGCACACATAACAAAGCAGTTTCTGAGAATGATTCTGTGTAGTTTTTACACGAAGCTATTTCCATTTCAAAGATTAGCCTCAAATCGCTTGAAATCTCCACTTGCAAATTCCACAGAAAGAGTTTTTCAAAACTGCTCTCTGTAAAGGAAAGTTCAACTCTGTGACTTGAATACACACAACACAAAGAAGTGACTGAGAATTCTTCTGTCTAGCATTATATGAAGAAATCCCGTTTCCAAAGAAGGCCTCAATGAAGTCCAAAAAAGCACTTGCAGGCTTTACAAACAGAGTGATTCCAACCTTCTCTATGAAAAGAAAGGTTAAACTTTGTGAGTTGAACGCACACATCACAAAGTAGTTGTTGAGAATGATTTTGTCTAGTTTTAATACGAAGATATATCCTTTTCTATCACTGTCTTTGAAGCGTTTGAAATCTGCACTAGCAAATTCCACAAACAGAGTGTTTCAACTCTGCTCTCTCTCAAGAAAGGTTCAACTCTGTGAGTGGAATACACACAACACAAAGAAGTTACTGAGAATTCTTCTGTCTAGCGTTATATGAAGAAATCCCGTTTCCAACGAAGGCCTCAAAGAGGTCCAAATATCCACTTGCAGACTTTACAAATAGAGTGTTTCCAAACTGCTCTATGAAAAGAAAGGTTAAACTCTGTGAGTTGAAGGCACACATCACAAACTAGTTTCTGCGAATGACTCTGTGTACTTTTAATACGAAGATGTTTCCATGTCTAAGATTGGCGTGAATTCGCTTGAAATCTCCACTTGCAAATTCCACAAAAAGAGTGTTTCAAAACTGCTCTGAATAAAGGAAGGTTCCACTCTGTGAGTTGAATACACACAACACAAAGGATTTACTGAGAATTCTTCTGTCTAGCAGTAAATGAAAAAATCCCGCTTCCAACGAAGTCCTCAAAGGGGTCCAAGTAATCACTTGCAGACTTTACAGACAGAGTCTTTCCAAACTGCTCTATGAAAAGAAAGGTGGAACTCTGTGAGCTGAACGCACACATAACAAAGCAGTTTCTGACAATGATTCTGTGTAGTTTTTACACGAAGATATTTCCATTTCAAAGATTAGCCTCAAATCGCTTGAAATCTCCACTTGCAAATTCCACAGAAAGAGTTTTTCAAAACTGCTCTGTGTAAAGGAAGGTTCAACTCTGTGACTTGAATACACACAACACAAAGAAGTGACTGAGAATTCTTCTGTCTAGCATTATAAGAGGAAATCCCGTTTCCAACGAAGGGCTCATAGAGGGACAATTATCCAGCTGCAGACTTACAAAGAGTGTATTTCCAAACTGCTCGATTAAAGAAAGGTTAAACTCTGTGAGTTGAACACACACATCACAAAGTGTTTTCTGAGAATGATTTTGTCTAGTTTTAATACGAAGATATATCCTTTTCTATCACTGTCTTCGAAGCGTTTGAAATCTGCACTAGCAAATTCCACAAACAGAGTGTTTCAACTCTGCTCTCTCTCAAGAAAGGTTCAACTACTGTGAGTGGAATACACACAACACAAAGAAGTTACTGAGAATTCTTCTGTCTAGCGTTATATGAAGAAATCCCGTTTCCAACGAAGGCCTCAAAGAGGTCCAAATATCCACTTGCAGACTTTACAAATAGAGTGTTTCCAAACTGCTCTATGAAAAGAAAGGTTAAACTCCGTGAGTTGAAGGCACACATCACAAGCTAGTTTCTGCGAATGACTCTGTGTACTTTTAATACGAAGTTGTTTCCATGTCTAAGATTGGCGTGAATTCGCTTGAAATCTCCACTTGCAAGTTCCACAAAAAGAGTGTTTCAAAACTGCTCTGAATAAAGGAAGGTTCCACTCTGTGAGTTGAATACACACAACACAAAGGATTTACTGAGAATTCTTCTGTCTAGCAGTAAATGAAAAAATCCCGCTTCCAACGAAGTCCTCAAAGGGGTCCAAGTAATCACTTGCAGACTTTACAGACAGAGTCTTTCCAAACTGCTCTATGAAAAGAAAGGTGGAACTCTGTGAGCTGAACGCACACATAACAAAGCAGTTTCTGACAATGATTCTGTGTAGTTTTTACACGAAGATATTTCCATTTCAAAGATTAGCCTCAAATCGCTTGAAATCTCCACTTGCAAATTCCACAGAAAGAATTTTTCAAAACTGCTCTGTCTAAAGGAAGGTTCAACTCTGTGACTTGAATACACACAACACAAAGAAGTGACTGAGAATACTTCTGTCTAGCATTATATGAAGAAATCCCGTTTCCAATGAAGGCCTCAAAGAAGTCCAAATATGCACTTGCAGACTTTACAACCAGAGTGTTTCCAAACTGCTCTATGAAAAGAAAGGTTAAACCCTGTGAGTTGAACACACACATCACAAAGTAGTTTCTGAGAATGTTTCTGTGTAGTTTTTATACGAAGATATTTCCTTTTCTGCCATAGGCCTAGAAGCGCTTGAAATCTGCACTTGCAAATTCCAAAAACAGAGTGTTTCAAATCTGCTCTCTCTAAAGGAAGGTTCAAATCTGTGTGTTGAATACAAACAACACAAAGAAGTTACTGAGAATTCTTCTGTCTAGCGTTATATGAAGAAATCCCGTTTCCAACGAAGGCCTCAAAGAGGTCCAAATATCCACTTGCAGACTTTACAAATAGAGTGTTTCCAAACTGCTCTATGAAAAGAAAGGTTAAACACTGTGAGTTGAAGGCACACATCACAAACCAGTTTCTGCGAATGACTCTGTGTACTTTTAATACGAAGATGTTTCCATGTCTAAGATTGGCGTGAATTCGCTTGAAATCTCCACTTGCAAATTCCACAAAAAGAGTGTTTCAAAACTGCTCTGAATAAAGGAAGGTTCCACTCTGTGAGTTGAATACACACAACACAAAGGATTTACTGAGAATTCTTCTGTCTAGCAGTAAATGGGAAATCCCGCTTCCAACGAAGGCCTCAAAGGGGTCTAACTAATCACTTGCGGACTTTACAGATAGAGTCTTTCCAAACTGCTCTATGAAGAGAAAGGTTAAACTCTGTGAACTGAACGCACAGATAACAAAGCAGTTTCTGAGAATGATTCTGTGTAGTTTTGACACGAAGATATTTCCATTTCAAAGATTAGCCTCAAATCGCTTGAAATCTCCACTTGCAAATTCCACAGAAAGAATTTTTCAAAACTGCTCTGTCTAAAAGAAGGTTCAACTCTGTGACTTGAATACACACAACACAAAGAAGTTACTGAGAATTCTTCTGTCTAGCATTATATGAAGAAATCCCGTTTCCAACGAAGGCCTCAATGAAGTCCAAAAAAGCACTTGCAGGCTTTACAAACAGAGTGTTTCCAAACTGCTCTATGAAAAGAAAGGTTAAACTGTGAGTTTAACGCACACATCACAAAGTAGTTGTTGAGAATGATTCTGTGTAGTTTTTATACGAAGATATTTCCTTTTCTGCCATAGGCCTAGAAGCGCTTGCAATCTGCACTTGCAAATTCCAAAAACAGAGTGTTTCAAATCTGCTCTCTCCAAAGGAAGGTTCAAATCTGTGAGTGGAATACAAACAACACAAAGAAGTTACTGAGAATTCTTCTGTCTAGCATTATATGAGGAAATCCCGTTTGCAACGAAGGGCTCATAGAGGGATAATTATCCAGCTGCAGACTTACAAAGAGTGTATTTCCAAACTGATCGATTAAAGAAAGGTTAAACTCTGTGAGTTGAACACACACATCACAAAGTGTTTTCTGAGAATGATTTTGTCTAGTTTTAATACGAAGATATATCCTTTTCTATCATTGTCTTCGAAGCGTTTGAAATCTGCACTGGCAAATTCCACAAACAGAGTGTTTCAACTCTGCTCTCTCTCAAGAAAGGTTCAACTCTGTGAGTTGAATACACACAACACAAAGAAGTTACTGAGAATTCTTCTGTCTAGCGTTATATGAAGAAATCCCGTTTCCAACGAAGGCCTCAAAGAGGTCCAAATATCCACTTGCAGACTTTACAAATAGAGTGTTTCCAAACTGCTCTATGAAAAGAAAGGTTAAACTCCGTGAGTTGAAGGCACACATCACAAACTAGTTTCTGCGAATGACTCTGTGTACTTTTAATACGAAGATGTTTCCATGTCTAAGATTGGCGTGAATTCGCTTGAAATCTCCACTTGCAAATTCCACAAAAAGAGTGTTTCAAAACTGCTCTGAATAAAGGAAGGTTCCACTCTGTGAGTTGAATACACACAACACAAAGGATTTACTGAGAATTCTTCTGTCTAGCAGTAAATGAAAAAATCCCGCTTCCAACGAAGTCCTCAAAGGGGTCCAAGTAATCACTTGCAGACTTTACAGACAGAGTCTTTCCAAACTGCTCTATGAAAAGAAAGGTGGAACTCTGTGAGCTGAACGCACACATAACAAAGCAGTTTCTGACAATGATTCTGTGTAGTTTTTACACGAAGATATTTCCATTTCAAAGATTAGCCTCAAATCGCTTGAAATCTCCACTTGCAAATTCCACAGAAAGAGTTTTTCAAAACTGCTCTGTGTAAAGGAAGGTTCAACTCTGTGACTTGAATACACACAACACAAAGAAGTGACTGAGAATTCTTCTGTCTAGCATTATAAGAGGAAATCCTGTTTCCAACGAAGGGCTCATAGAGGGACAATTATCCAGCTGCAGACTTACAAAGAGTGTATTTCCAAACTGCTCGATTAAAGAAAGGTTAAACTCTGTGAGTTGAACACACACATCACAAAGTGTTTTCTGAGAATGATTTTGTCTAGTTTTAATACGAAGATATATCCTTTTCTATCACTGTCTTCGAAGCGTTTGAAATCTGCACTAGCAAATTCCACAAACAGAGTGTTTCAACTCTGCTCTCTCTCAAGAAAGGTTCAACTCTGTGAGTGGAATACACACAACACAAAGAAGTTACTGAGAATTCTTCTGTCTAGCGTTGTATGAAGAAATCCCGTTTCCAACGAAGGCCTCAAAGAGGTCCAAATATCCACTTGCAGACTTTACAAATAGAGTGTTTCCCAACTGCTCTATGAAAAGAAAGGTTAAACTCTGTGAGTTGAAGGCACACATCACAAACTAGTTTCTACGAATGACTCTGTGTACTTTTAATATGAAGATATTTCCATGTCTAAGATTGGCGTCAAATCGCTTGAAATCTCCACTTGCAAATTCCACAAAAAGAGTGTTTCAAAACTGCTCTGAATAAAGGAAGGTTCCACTCTGTGAGTTGAATACACACAACAGAAAGGATTTACTGAGAATTCTTCTGTCTAGCAGTAAATGAAAAAATCCCGCTTCCAACGAAGTCCTCAAAGGGGTCCAAGTAATCACTTGCAGACTTTACAGACAGAGTCTTTCCAAACTGCTCTATGAAAAGAAAGGTGGAACTCTGTGAGCTGAACGCACACATAACAAAGCAGTTTCTGAGAATGATTCTGTGTAGTTTTTACACGAAGATATTTCCATTTCAAAGATTAGCCTCAAATCTCTTAAAATCTCCAATTGCAAATTCCACAGAAAGAATTTTTCAAAACTGCTCTGTCTAAAAGAAGGTTCAACTCTGTGACTTGAATACACACAACACAAAGAAGTGACTGAGAATTCTTCTGTCTAGCATTATATGAAGAAATCCCGTTTCCAACGAAGGCCTCAATGAAGTCCAAAAAAGCACTTGCAGGCTTTACAAACAGAGTGTTTCCAAACTGCTCTATGAAAAGAAAGGTTAAACTCTGTGAGTTGAACGCACACATCACAAAGTAGTTGTTGAGAATGATTCTGTGTAGTTTTTATACGAAGATATTTCCTTTTCTGCCATAGGCCTAGAAGCGCTTGAAATCTGCACTTGCAAATTCCAAAAACAGAGTGTTTCAAATCTGCTCTCTCTAAAGGAAGGTTCAAATCTGTGAGTTGAATACAAACAACACAAAGAAGTTACTGAGAATTCTTCTGTCTAGCATTATATGAGGAAATCCCGTTTCCAACGAAGGCCTCAAAGAGTGCCAATTATCCACCTGCAGACTTACAAAGAGTGTATTTCCAAACTGCTCGATTAAAGAAAGGTTAAACTCTGTGAGTTGAACACACACATCACAAAGAGTTTTCTGAGAATGATTTTGTCTAGTTTTAATACGAAGGTATATCCTTTGCTATCACTGTCTTCGAAGCGTTTGAAATCTGCACTAGCAAATTCCACAAAAAGAGTGTTTCAACTCTGCTCTCTCTAAAGAAAGGTTCAACTCTGTGAGTTGAATACACACAACACAAAGAAGTTACTGAAAATTCTTCTGTCTAGCTTTATATGAAGAAATCCCGTTTCCAACGAAGGCCTCAAAGAGGTCCAAATATCCACTTGCAGACTTTACAAATAGAGTGTTTCCGAACTGCTCTATGAAAAGAAAGGTTAAACTCTGTGAGTTGAAGGCACACATCACAATCTAGTTTCTACGAATGACTCTGTGTACTTTTAATACGAAGATGTTTCCATGTCTAAGATTGGCGTGAATTCGCTTGAAATCTCCACTTGCAAATTCCACAAAAAGAGTGTTTCAAAACTGCTCTGAATAAAGGAAGGTTCAACTCTGTGAGTTGAATACACACAACACAAAGGATTTACTGAGAATTCTTCTGTCTAGCAGTAAATGAGAAATCCCGCTTCCAACGAAGGCCTCAAAGGGGTCTAACTAATCACTTGCAGACTTTACAGACAGAGTCTTTCCAAACTGCTCTATGAAGAGAAAGGTGAAACTCTGTGAACTGAACGCACAGATGACAAAGCAGTTTCTGAGAATGCTTCTGTGTAGTTTTTACACGAAGATATTTCCATTTCAAAGATTAGCCTCAAATCGCTTGAAATCTCCGCTTGCAAACTCCACAGAAAGAATTTTTCAAAACTGCTCTGTCTAAAGGAAAGTTCAACTCTGTGACTTGAATACACACAACACAAAGTAGTGACTGAGAATTCTTCTGTCTAGCATTATATGAAGAAATCCCGTTTCCAACGAAGGCCTCAATGAAGTCCAAAAAAGCACTTGCAGGCTTTACAAACAGACTGTTTCCAAACTGCTCTATGAAAAGAAAGGTTAAACTCTGTGAGTTGAATGCACACATCACAAAGTAGTTGTTGAGAATGATTCTGTGTAGTTTTTATACGAAGATATTTCCTTTTCTGCCATAGGCCTAGAAGCGCTTGAAATCTGCACTTGCAAATTCCAAAAACAGAGTGTTTCAACTCTGCTCTCTCTAAAGAAAGATTCAACTCTGTGAGTTGAATACACACAACACAAAAAAGTTACTGAGAATTCTTCTGTCTAGCGTTATATGAAGAAATCCCGTTTCCAACGAAGGCCTCAAAGAGGTCCAAATATCCACTTGCAGACTTTACAAATAGAGTGTTTCCCAACTGCTCTATGAAAAGAAAGGTTAAACTCTGTGAGTTGAAGGCACACATCACAAACTAGTTTCTACGAATGACTCTGTGTACTTTTAATATGAAGATATTTCCATGTCTAAGATTGGCGTCAAATCGCTTGAAATCTCCACTTGGAAATTCCACAAAAAGGGTTTTTCAAAACTGCTCTGAATAAAGGAAGGTTCCACTCTGTGAGTTGAATACACACAACACAAAGGATTTACTGAGAATTCTTCTGTCAAGCAGTAAATGAGAAATCCCGCTTCCAACGAAGGCGTCAAAGGGGTCTAACTAATCACTTGCAGACTTTACAGACAGAGTCTTTCCAAACTGCTCTATGAAGAGAAAGGTGAAACTCTGTGAACTGAACGCACAGATGACAAAGCAGTTTCTGAGAATGCTTCTGTGTAGTTTTTACACGAAGATATTTCCATTTCAAAGATTAGCCTCAAATCGCTTGAAATCTCCACTTGCAAACTCCACAGAAACAATTTTTCAAAACTGCTCTGTCTAAAGGAAGGTTCAACTCTGTGACTTGAATACACACAACACAAAGAAGTGACTGAGAATTCTTCTGTCTAGCATTATAAGAGGAAATCCCGTTTCCAACGAAGGGCTCATAGAGGGACAATTATCCAGCTGCAGACTTACAAAGAGTGTATTTCCAAACTGCTCGATTAAAGAAAGGTTAAACTCTGTGAGTTGAACACACACATCACAAAGTGTTTTCTGAGAATGATTTTGTCTAGTTTTAATACGAAGATATCCTTTTCTATCACTGTCTTCGAAGCGTTTGAAATCTGCACTAGCAAATTCCACAAACAGAGTGTTTCAACTCTGCTCTCTCTCAAGAAAGGTTCAACTCTGTGAGTTGAATACACACAACACAAAGAAGTTACTGAGAATTCTTCTGTCTAGCGTTATATGAAGAAATCCCGTTTCCAACGAAGGCCTCAAAGAGGTCCAAATATCCACTTGCAGACTTTACAAATAGAGTGTTTCCAAACTGCTCTATGAAAAGAAAGGTTAAACTCCGTGAGTTGAAGGCACACATCACAAACTAGTTTCTGCGAATGACTCTGTGTACTTTTAATATGAAGATATTTCCATGTCTAAGATTGGCGTCAAATCGCTTGAAATCTCCACTTGCAAATTCCACAAAAAGAGTGTTTCAAAACTGCTCTGAATAAAGGAAGGTTCCACTCTGTGAGTTGAATACACACAACACAAAGGATTTACTGAGAATTCTTCTGTCTAGCAGTAAATGAGAAATCCCGCTTCCAACGAAGGTCCTCAAAGGGGTCTAACTAATCACTTGCAGACTTCACAGACAGAGTCTTTCCAAACTGCTCTATGAAGAGAAAGGTGAAACTCTGTGAACTGAACGCAGCAGATAACAAATCAGTTTCTGAGAATGATTCTGTGTAGTTTTTACACGAAGATATTTCCATTTCAAAGATTAGCCTCAAATCGCTTGAAATCTCCACTTGCAAATTCCACAGAAAGAGTTTTTCAAAACTGCTCTGTGTAAAGGAAGGTTCAACTCTGTGACTTGAATACACACAACACAAAGAAGTGACTGAGAATTCTTCTGTCTAGCATTATAAGAGGAAATCCCGTTTCCAACGAAGGGCTCATAGAGGGACAATTATCCAGCTGCAGACTTACAAAGAGTGTATTTCCAAACTGCTCGATTAAAGAAAGGTTAAACTCTGTGAGTTGAACACACACATCACAAAGTGTTTTCTGAGAATGATTTTGTCTAGTTTTAATACGAAGATATATCCTTTTCTATCACTGTCTTCGAAGCGTTTGAAATCTGCACTAGCAAATTCCACAAAAAGAGTGTTTCAACTCTGCTCTCTCTCAAGAAAGGTTCAACTCTGTGAGTGGAATACACACAACACAAAGAAGTTACTGAGAATTCTTCTGTCTAGCGTTATATGAAGAAATCCCGTTTCCAACGAAGGCCTCAAAGAGGTCCAAATATCCACTTGCAGACTTTACAAATAGAGTGTTTCCAAACTGCTCTATGAAAAGAAAGGTTAAACTCCGTGAGTTGAAGGCACACATCACAAACTAGTTTCTGCGAATGACTCTGTGTACTTTTAATATGAAGATATTTCCATGTCTAAGATTGGCGTCAAATCGCTTGAAATCTCCACTTGCAAATTCCACAAAAAGAGTGTTTCAAAACTGCTCTGAATAAAGGAAGGTTCCACTCTGTGAGTTGAATACACACAACACAAAGGATTTACTGAGAATTCTTCTGTCTAGCAGTAAATGAAAAAATCCCGCTTCCAACGAAGTCCTCAAAGGGGTCCAAGTAATCACTTGCAGACTTTACAGACAGAGTCTTTCCAAACTGCTCTATGAAAAGAAAGGTGGAACTCTGTGAGCTGAACGCACACATAACAAAGCAGTTTCTGAGAATGATTCTGTGTAGTTTTTACACGAAGATATTTCCATTTCAAAGATTAGCCTCAAATCGCTTGAAATCTCCACTTGCAAATTCCACAGAAAGAGTTTTTCAAAACTGCTCTGTGTAAAGGAAGGTTCAACTCTGTGACTTGAATACACACAACACAAAGAAGTGACTGAGAATTCTTCTGTCTAGCGTTGTATGAAGAAATCCCGTTTCCAACGAAGGCCTCAATGAAGTCCAAAAAAGCACTTGCACGCTTTACAAACAGAGTGTTTCCAAACTGCTCTATGAAAAGAAAGGTTAAACTCTGTGAGTTGAACGCACACATCACAAAGTAGTTGTTGAGAATGATTCCTGTGTAGTTTTTATACGAAGATATTTCCTTTTCTGCCATAGGCCTAGAAGCGCTTGCAATCTGCACTTGCAAATTCCAAAAACAGAGTGTTTCAAATCTGCTCTCTCCAAAGGAAGGTTCAAATCTGTGAGTTGAATACAAACAACACAAAGAAGTTACTGAGAATTATTTCTGTCTAGCGTTATATGAAGAAATCCCGTTTCCAACGAAGGCCTCAAAGAGGTCCAAATATCCACTTGCAGACTTTACAAATAGAGTGTTTCCAAACTGCTCTATGAAAAGAAAGGTTAAACTCTGTGAGATGAAGGCACACATCACAATCTAGTTTCTACGAATGACTCTGTGTACTTTTAATATGAAGATATTTCCACGTCTACGATTGGCGTCAAATCGCTTGAAATCTCCACTTGCAAATTCCACAAAAATTGTTTTTCAAAACTTCTCTGAATAAAGGAAGGTTCAACTCTGTGAGTTGAATACACACAACACAAAGGATTTACTGAGAATTCTTTTGTCTAGCAGTAAATGAGAAATCCCGCTTCCTACGAAGGCCTCAAGGGGGTCTAACTAATCACTTGCAGACGTTACAGACAGAGTCTTTCCAAACTGCTCTATGAAGAGAAAGGTGAAACTCTGTGAACTGAACGCACAGATAACAAAGCAGTTTCTGAGAATGATTCTGTGTAGTTTTTACACGAAGATATTTCCATTTCAAAGATTAGCCTCAAATCGCTGGAAATCTCCACTTGCAAACTCCACAGAAAGAATTTTTCAAAACTGCTCTGTCTAAAGGAAGGTTCAACTCTGTGACTTGAATACACACAACACAAAGAAGTGACTGAGAATTCTTCTGTCTAGCATTATATGAAGAAATCCCGTTTCCAACGAAGGCCTCAATGAAGTCCAAAAAAGCACTTGCAGGCTTTACAAACAGAGTGTTTCCAAACTGCTCTATGAAAAGAAAGGTTAAACTCTGTGAGTTGAACGCACACATCACAAAGTAGTTGTTGAGAATGATTCTGTGTAGTTTTTATACGAAGATATTTCCTTTTCTGCCATAGGCCTAGAAGCGCTTGAAATCTGCACTTGCAAATTCCAAAAACAGAGTGTTTCAAATCTGCTCTCTCTAAAGGAAGGTTCAAATCTGTGTGTTGAATACAAACAACACAAAGAAGTTACTGAGAATTCTTCTGTCTAGCATTATATGAGGAAATCCCGTTTCCAACGAAGGGCTCAAAGAGGGCCAAATATCCACCTGCAGACTTACAAAGAGTGTATTTCCAAACTGCTCGATTAAAGAAAGGTTAAACTCTGTGAGTTGAACACACACATCACAAAGAGTTTTCTGAGAATGATTTTGTCTACTTTTAATACGAAGATATATCCTTTTCTATCACTGTCTTCGAAGCGTTTGAAATCTACACTAGCAAATTCCACAAAAAGAGTGTTTCACCTCTGCTCCCTCTAAAGAAAGGTTCAACTCTGTGAGTTGAATACACACAACACAAAGAAGTTACTGAGAATTCTTCTGTCTAGCGTTATATGAAGAAATCCCGTTTCCAACGAAGGCCTCAAAGAGGTCCAAATATCCACTTGCAGACTTTACAAATAGAGTGTTTCCCAACTGCTCTATGAAAAGAAAGGTTAAACTCTGTGAGTTGAAGGCACACATCACAAACTAGTTTCTACGAATGACTCCTGTGTACTTTTAATATGAAGATATTTCCATGTCTAAGATTGGCGTCAAATCGCTTGAAATCTCCACTTGCAAATTCCACAAAAAGAGTGTTTCAAAACTGCTCTGAATAAAGGAAGGTTCCACTCTGTGAGTTGAATACACACAACACAAAGGATTTACTGAGAATTCTTCTGTCTAGCAGTAAATGAAAAAATCCCGCTTCAAACGAAGTCCACAAAGGGGTCCAAGTAATCACTTGCAGACTTTACTGACAGAGTCTTTCCAAACTGCTCTATGAAGAGAAAGGTGAAACTCTGTGAACTGAACGCACAGATAACAAAGCAGTTTCTGAGAATGATTCTGTGTAGTTTTTACACGAAGATATTTCCATTTCAAAGATTAGCCTCAAATCGCTTGAAATCTCCACTTGCAAACTCCACAGAAAGAATTTTTCAAAACTGCTCTGTCTAAAGGAAGGTTCAACTCTGTGACTTGAATACACACAACACAAAGAAGTGACTGAGAATTCTTCTGTCTAGCATTATATGAGGAAATCCCGTTTCCAACGAAGGGCTCATAGAGGGACAATTATCCACCTGCAGACTTACAAAGAGTGCATTTCCAAACTGCTCGATTAAAGAAAGGTTAAACTCTGTGAGTTGAACACACACATCACAAAGTGTTTTCTGAGAATGATTTTGTCTAGTTTTAATACGAAGATATATCCTTTTCTATCACTGTCTTCGAAGCGTTTGAAATCTGCACTAGCAAATTCCACAGAAAGAGTGTTTCAACTCTGCTCTCTCTCAAGAAAGGTTCAACTCTGTGAGTGGAATACACACAACACAAAGAAGTTACAGAGAATTCTTCTGTCTAGCGTTATATGAAGAAATCCCGTTTCCAACGAAGGCCTCAAAGAGGTCCAAATATCCACTTGCAGACTTTACAAATAGAGTGTTTCCCAACTGCTCTATGAAAAGAAAGGTTAAACTCTGTGAGTTGAAGGCACACATCACAAACTAGTTTCTACGAATGACTCTGTGTACTTTTAATATGAAGATATTTCCATGTCTAAGATTGGCGTCAAATCGCTTGAAATCTCCACTTGCAAATTCCACAAAAAGAGTGTTTCAAAACTGCTCTGAATAAAGGAAGGTTCCACTCTGTGAGTTGAATACACACAACACAAAGGATTTACTGAGAATTCTTCTGTCTAGCAGTAAATGAGAAATCCCGCTTCCAACGAAGGCCTCAAAGGGGTCTAACTAATCACTTGCAGACTTTATAGACAGAGTCTTTCCAAACTGCTCTATGAAGAGAAAGGTGAAACTCTGTGAACTGAACGCACAGATGACAAAGCAGTTTCTGAGAATGATTCTGTGTGGTTTTTACACGAAGCTATTTCCATTTCAAAGATTAGCCTCAAATCGCTTGAAATCTCCACTTGCAAATTCCACAGAAAGAGTTTTTCAAAACTGCTCTGTGTAAAGGAAGGTTCAACTCTGTGACTTGAATACACACAACACAAAGAAGTGACTGAGAATTCTTCTGTCTAGCATTATAAGAGGAAATCCCGTTTCCAACGAAGGGCTCATAGAGGGACAATTATCCAGCTGCAGACTTACAAAGAGTGTATTTCCAAACTGCTCGATTAAAGAAAGGTTAAACTCTGTGAGTTGAACACACACATCACAAAGTGTTTTCTGAGAATGATTTTGTCTAGTTTTAATACGAAGATATATCCTTTTCTATCACTGTCTTCGAAGCGTTTGAAATCTGCACTAGCAAATTCCACAAACAGAGTGTTTCAACTCTGCTCTCTCTCAAGAAAGGTTCAACTCTGTGAGTGGAATACACACAACACAAAGAAGTTACTGAGAATTCTTCTGTCTAGCGTTATATGAAGAAATCCCGTTTCCAACGAAGGCCTCAAAGAGGTCCAAATATCCACTTGCAGACTTTACAAATAGAGTGTTTCCAAACTGCTCTATGAAAAGAAAGGTTAAACTCTGTGAGTTGAAGGCACACATCACAAACTAGTTTCTGCGAATGACTCTGTGTACTTTTAATACGAAGATGTTTCCATGTCTAAGATTGGCGTGAATTCGCTTGAAATCTCCACTTGCAAATTCCACAAAAAGAGTGTTTCAAAAGTGCTCTGAATAAAGGAAGGTTCCACTCTGTGAGTTGAATACACACAACACAAAGGATTTACTGAGAATTCTTCTGTCTAGCAGTAAATGAAAAAATCCCGCTTTCAACGAAGTCCTCAAAGGGGTCCAAGTAATCACTTGTAGACTTTACAGACAGAGTCTTTCCAAACTGCTCTATGAAAAGAAAGGTGGAACTCTGTGAGCTGAACGCACACATAACAAAGCAGTTTCTGAGAATGATTCTGTGTAGTTTTTACACGAAGATATTTCCATTTCAAAGATTAGCCTCAAATCGCTTGAAATCTCCACTTGCAAACTCCACAGAAAGAATTTTTCAAAACTGCTCTGTCTAAAGGAAGGTTCAACTCTGTGACTTGAATACACACAATACAAAGAAGTGACTGAGAATTCTTCTGTCTAGCATTATATGAAGAAATCCCGTTTCCAACGAAGGCCTCAATGAAGTCCAAAAAAGCACTTGCAGGCTTTACAAACAGAGTGTTTCCAAACTGCTCTATGAAAAGAAAGGTTAAACTCTGTGAGTTGAACGCACACATCACAAAGTAGTTGTTGAGAATGATTCTGTGTAGTTTTTACACGAAGATATTTCCTTTTCTGCCATAGGCCTAGAATCGCTTGAAATCTGCACTTGCAAATTCCAAAAACAGAGTGTTTCAACTCTGCTCTCTCAAAAGAAAGGTTCAACTCTGTGAGTTGAATACACACAACACAAAGAAGTTACTGAGAATTCTTCTGTCTAGCGTTCTATGAAGAAATCCCGTTTCCAACGAAGGCCTCAATGAAGTCCAAAAAACCACTTGCAGGCTTTACAACCAGAGTGTTTCCAAACTGCTCTATGAAAAGAAAGGTTAAACTCTGTGAGTTGAACGCACACATCACAAAGTAGTTGTTGAGAATGATTCTGTGTACTTTTAATACGAAGATGTTTCCATGTCTAAGATTGGCGTGAATTCGCTTGAAATCTCCACTTGCAAATTCCACAAAAAGAGTGTTTCAAAACTGCTCTGAATAAAGGAAGGTTCCACTCTGTGAGTTGAATACACACAACACAAAGGATTTACTGAGAATTCTTCTGTCTAGCAGTAAATGAAAAAATCCCGCTTCCAACGAAGTCCTCAAAGGGGTCCAAGTAATCACTTGCAGACTTTACAGACAGAGTCTTTCCAAACTGCTCTATGAAAAGAAAGGTGGAACTCTGTGAGCTGAACGCACACATAACAAAGCAGTTTCTGACAATGATTCTGTGTAGTTTTTACACGAAGATATTTCCATTTCAAAGATTAGCCTCAAATCGCTTGAAATCTCCACTTGCAAATTCCACAGAAAGAGTTTTTCAAAACTGCTCTGTGTAAAGGAAGGTTCAACTCTGTGACTTGAATACACACAACACAAAGAAGTGACTGAGAATTCTTCTGTCTAGCATTATATGAAGAAATCCCGTTTCCAACGAAGGCCTCAAAGAAGTCCAAATAAGCACCTGCAGACTTTACAAACAGAGTGTTTCCAAACTGCTCTATGAAAAGAAAGGTTAAACTGCTGTGAGTTGAACGCACACATCACAAAGTAGTTGTTGAGAATGATTTCTGTGTAGTTTTTATACGAAGATATTTCCTTTTCTGCCATAGGCCTAGAAGCGCTTGCAATCTGCACTTGCAAATTCCAAAAACAGAGTGTTTCAAATCTGCTCTCTCCAAAGGAAGGTTCAAATCTGTGAGTTGAATACAAACAACACAAAGAAGTTACTGAGAATTCTTCTGTCTAGCGTTATATGAAGAAATCCCGTTTCCAACGAAGGCCTCAAAGAGGTCCAAATATCCACTTGCAGACTTACAAATAGAGTGTTTCCAAACTGCTCTATGAAAAGAAAGGTTAAACTCCGTGAGTTGAAGGCACACATCACAAACTAGTTTCTGCGAATGACTCTGTGTACTTTTAATACGAAGATGTTTCCATGTCTAAGATGGGCGTGAATTCGCTTGAAATCTCCACTTGCAAATTCCACAAAAAGAGTGTTTCAAAACTGCTCTGAATAAAGGAAGGTTCCACTCTGTGAGTTGAATACACACAACACAAAGGATTTACTGAGAATTCTTCTGTCTAGCAGTAAATGAAAAAATCCCGCTTCCAACGAAGTCCTCAAAGGGGTCCAAGTAATCACTTGCAGACTTTACAGACAGAGTCTTTCCAAACTGCTCTATGAAAAGAAAGGTGGAACTCTGTGAGCTGAACGCACACATAACAAAGCAGTTTCTGACAATGATTCTGTGTAGTTTTTACACGAAGATATTTCCATTTCAAAGATTAGCCTCAAATCGCTTGAAATCTCCACTTGCAAATTACACAGAAAGAATTTTTCAAAACTGCTCTGTCTAAAGGAAGGTTCAACTCTGTGACTTGAATACACACAACACAAAGAAGTGACTGAGAATTCTTCTGTCTAGCATTATATGAAGAAATCCCGTTTCCAACGAAGGCCTCAATGAAGTCCAAAAAAGCACTTGCAGGCTTTACAAACAGAGTGTTTCCAAACTGCTCTATGAAAAGAAAGGTTAAACTCTGTGAGTTGAACGCACACATCACAAAGTAGTTGTTGAGAATGATTTTGTCTACTTTTAATACGAAGATATATCCTTTTCTATCACTGTCTTCGAAGCGTTTGAAATCTACACTAGCAAATTCCACAAAAAGAGTGTTTCACTGCTGCTCCCTCTCAAGAAAGGTTCAACTCTGTGAGTTGAATACACACAACACAAAGAAGTTACTGAGAATTCTTCTGTCTAGCGTTATATGAAGAAATCCCGTTTCCAACGAAGGCCTCAAAGAGGTCCAAATATCCACTTGCAGACTTTACAAATAGAGTGTTTCCCAACTGCTCTATGAAAAGAAAGGTTAAACTCTGTGAGTTGAAGGCACACATCACAAACTAGTTTCTACGAATGACTCTGTGTACTTTTAATATGAAGATATTTCCATGTCTAAGATTGGCGTCAAATCGCTTGAAATCTCCACTTGCAAATTCCACAAAAAGAGTGTTTCAAAACTGCTCTGAATAAAGGAAGGTTCCACTCTGTGAGTTGAATACACACAACACAAAGGATTTACTGAGAATTCTTCTGTCTAGCAGTAAATGAGAAATCCCGCTTCCAACGAAGGCCTTAAAGGGGTCTAACTAATCACTTGCAGACTTTACAGACAGAGTCTTTCCAAACTGCTCTATGAAGAGAAAGGTGAAACTCTGTGAACTGAACGCACAGATGACAAAGCAGTTTCTGAGAATGATTCTGTGTAGTTTTTACACGAAGATATTTCCATTTCAAAGATTAGCCTCAAATCGCTTGAAATCTCCACTTGCAAATTACACAGAAAGAATTTTTCAAAACTGCTCTGTCTAAAGGAAGGTTCAACTCTGTGACTTGAATACACACAACACAAAGAAGTTACTGAGAATTCTTCTGTCTAGCGTTGTATGAAGAAATCCCGTTTCCAACGAAGGCCTCAATGAAGTACAAAAAAGCACTTGCAGGCTTTACAAACAGAGTGTTTCCAAACTGCTCTATGAAAAGAAAGGTTAAACTCTGTGAGTTGAACACACACATCACAAAGAGTTTTCTGAGAAAGATTTTGTCTACTTTTAATACGAAGATATATCCTTTTCTATCACTGTCTTCGAAGCGTTTGAAATCTGCACTAGCAAATTCCACAAAAAGAGTGTTTCAACTCTGCTCTCTCTAAAGAAAGGTTCAACTCTGTGAGTTGAATACACACAACACAAAGAAGTTACTGAGAATTCTTCTGTCTAGCGTTATATGAAGAAATCCCTTTTCCAACGAAGGCCTCAAAGAGGTCCAAATATCCACTTGCAGACTTTACAAATAGAATGTTTCCGAACTGCTCTATGAAAAGAAAGGTTAAACTCTGTGAGTTGAAGGCACACATCACAAACTAGTTTCTACGAATGATTCTGTGTACTTTTAATACGAAGATGTTTCCATGTCTAAGATTGGCGTGAATTCGCTTGAAATCTCCACTTGCAAATTCCACAAAAAGAGTGTTTCAAAACTGCTCTGAATAAAGGAAGGTTCCACTCTGTGAGTTGAATACACACAACACAAAGGATTTACTGAGAATTCTTCTGTCTAGCAGTAAATGAAAAAATCCCGCTTCCAACGAAGTCCTCAAAGGGGTCCAAGTAATCACTTGCAGACTTTACAGACAGAGTCTTTCCAAACTGCTCTATGAAAAGAAAGGTGGAACTCTGTGAGCTGAACGCACACATAACAAAGCAGTTTCTGAGAATGATTCTGTGTAGTTTTTACACGAAGATATTTCCATTTCAAAGATTAGCCTCAAATCGCTTGAAATCTCCACTTGCAAATTCCACAGAAAAAATTTTTCAAAACTGCTCTGTCTAAAAGAAGGTTCAACTCTGTGACTTGAATACACACAACACAAAGAAGTGACTGAGAATTCTTCTGTCTAGCATTATAAGAGGAAATCCCGTTTCCAACGAAGGGCTCATAGAGGGACAATTATCCAGCTGCAGACTTACAAAGAGTGTATTTCCAAACTGCTCGATTAAAGAAAGGTTAAACTCTGTGAGTTGAACACACACATCACAAAGTGTTTTCTGAGAATGATTCTGTGTAGTTTTTATACGAAGATATTTCCTTTTCTGCCATAGGCCTAGAAGCGCTTGAAATCTGCACTTGCAAATTCCAAAAACAGAGTGTTTCAACTCTGCTCTCTATCAAGAAAGGTTCAACTCTGTGAGTGGAATACACACAACACAAAGAAGTTACAGAGAATTCTTCTGTCTAGCGTTGTATGAAGAAATCCCGTTTCCAACGAAGGCCTCAAAGAGGTCCAAATATCCACTTGCAGACTTTACAAATAGAGTGTTTCCAAACTGCTCTATGAAAAGAAAGGTTAAACTCTGTGAGTTGAAGGCACACATCACAAACTAGTTTCTACGAATGACTCTGTGTACTTTTAATACGAAGATGTTTCCATGTCTAAGATTGGCGTGAATTCGCTTGAAATCTCCACTTGCAAATTCCACAAAAAGAGTGTTTCAAAACTGCTCTGAATAAAGGAAGGTTCCACTCTGTGAGTTGAATACACACAACACAAAGGATTTACTGAGAATTCTTCTGTCTAGCAGTAAATGAGAAATCCCGCTTCCAACGAAGGCCTCAAAGGGGTCTAACTAATCACTTGCAGACTTTACAGACAGAGTCTTTCCAAACTGCTCTATGAAGAGAAAGGTGAAACTCTGTGAACTGAACGCACAGATGACAAAGCAGTTTCTGAGAATGATTCTGTGTAGTTTTTACACGAAGCTATTTCCATTTCAAAGATTAGCCTCAAATCGCTTGACATCTCCACTTGCAAATTCCACAGAAAGAGTTTTTCAAAACTGCTCTGTGTAAAGGAAGGTTCAACTCTGTGACTTGAATACACACAACACAAAGAAGTGACTGAGAATTCTTCTGTCTAGCATTATATGAAGAAATCCCGTTTCCAACGAAGGCCTCAAAGAAGTCCAAATAAGCACCTGCAGACTTTACAAACAGAGTGTTTCCAAACTGCTCTATGAAAAGAAAGGTTAAACTCTGTGAGCTGAACGCACACATCACAAAGTAGTTGTTGAGAATGATTCTGTGTAGTTTTTATACGAAGATATTTCCTTTTCTGCCATAGGCCTAGAAGCGCTTGTAATCTGCACTTGCAAATTCCAAAAACAGAGTGTTTCAAATCTGCTCTCTCTAAAGGAAGGTTCAAATCTGTGAGTTGAATACAAACAACACAAAGAAGTTACTGAGAATTCTTCTGTCTAGCGTTATATGAAGAAATCCCTTTTCCAACGAAGGCCTCAAAGAGTTCCAAATATCCACTTGCAGACTTTACAAATAGAATGTTTCCGAACTGCTCTATGAAAAGAAAGGTTAAACTCTGTGAGTTGAAGGCACACAACACAAACTAGTTTCTACGAATGATTCTGTGTACTTTTAATATGAAGATATTTCCATGTCTAAGATTGGCGTCAAATCGCTTGAAATCTCCACTTGCAAATTCCACAAAAAGAGTGTTTCAAAACTGCTCTGAATAAAGGAAGGTTCCACTCTGTGAGTTGAATAAACACAACACAAAGGATTTACTGAGAATTCTTCTGTCTAGCATTATATGCAGAAATCCCGTTTCCAAAGAAGGCCTCAATGAAGTCCAAAAAAGCACTTGCAGGCTTTACAAACAGAGTGATTCCAAACTGCTCTATGAAAAGAAAGGTTAAACTCTGTGAGTTGAACGCACACATCACAAAGTAGTTGTTGAGAATGATTCTGTGTAGTTTTTACACGAAGATATTTCCATTTCAAAGATTAGCCTCAAATCGCTTGAAATCTCCACTTGCAAATTACACAGAAAGAATTTTTCAAAACTGCTCTGTCTAAAGGAAGGTTCAACTCTGTGACTTGAATACACACAACACAAAGAAGTGACTGAGAATTCTTCTGTCTAGCATTATATGAAGAAATCCCGTTTCCAACGAAGGCCTCAATGAAGTCCAAAAAAGCACTTGCAGGCTTTACAAACAGAGTGTTTCCAAACTGCTCTATGAAAAGAAAGGTTAAACTCTGTGAGTTGAACGCACACATCACAAAGTAGTTGTTGAGAATGATTTTGTCTAGTTTTAATACGAAGATATATCCTTTTCTATCACTGTCTTCGAAGCGTTTGAAATCGGCACAAGCAAATTCCACAAACAGAGTGTTTCAACTCTGCTCTCTCTCAAGAAAGGTTCAACTCTGTGAGTGGAATACACACAACACAAAGAAGTTACTGAGAATTCTTCTGTCTAGCGTTATATGAAGAAATCCCGTTTCCAACGAAGGCCTCAAAGAGGTCCAAATATCCACTTGCAGACTTTACAAATAGAGTGTTTCCAAACTGCTCTATGAAAAGAAAGGTTAAACTCTGTGAGTTGAAGGCACACATCACAAACTAGTTTCTGCGAATGACTCTGTGTACTTTTAATATGAAGATATTTCCATGTCTAAGATTGGCGTCAAATCGCTTGAAATCTCCACTTGCAAATTCCACAAAAAGAGTGTTTCAAAACTGCTCTGAATAAAGGAAGGTTCCACTCTGTGAGTTGAATACACACAACACAAAGGATTTACTGAGAATTCTTCTGTCTAGCAGTAAATGAAAAAATCCCGCTTCCAACGAAGTCCTCAAAGAGGTCCAAGTAATCACTTGCAGACTTTACAGACAGAGTCTTTCCAAACTGCTCTATGAAAAGAAAGGTGGAACTCTGTGAGCTGAACGCACACATAACAAAGCAGTTTCTGAGAATGATTCTGTGTAGTTTTTACACGAAGATATTTCCATTTCAAAGATTAGCCTCAAATCGCTTGAAATCTCCACTTGCAAACTCCACAGAAAGAATTTTTCAAAACTGCTCTGTCTAAAGGAAGGTTCAACTCTGTGACTTGAATACACACAACACAAAGAAGTGACTGAGAATTCTTCTGTCTAGCGTTGTATGAAGAAATCCCGTTTCCAACGAAGGCCTCAATGAATTCCAAAAAAGCACTTGCAGGCTTTACAAACAGAGTGTTTCCAAACTGCTCTATGAAAAGAAAGGTTAAACTCTGTGAGTTGAACGCACACATCACAAAGTAGTTGTTGAGAATGATTTTGTCTAGTTTTAATACGAAGATATATCCTTTTCTATCACTGTCTTCGAAGCGTTTGAAGTCTGCACTAGCAAATTCCACAAAAAGAGTGTTTCAACTCTGCTCTCTCTAAAGAAACGTTCAACTCTGTGAGTTGAATACACACAACACAAAGAAGTTACTGAGAATTCTTTTGTCTAGCATTGTATGAAGAAATCCCTTTTCCAACGTAGGCCTCAAAGAGGTCCAAATATCCACTTGCAGACTTTACAAATAGAGTGTTTGCAAACTGCTCTATGAAAAGAAAGGTTAAACTCTGTGAGTTGAAGGCACACATCGCAAACTAGTTTCTACGAATGACTCTCTGTACTTTTAATATGAAGATATTTCCATGTCTAAGATTGGCGTCAAATCACTTGAAATCTCCACTTGCAAATTCCACAAAAACTGTTTTTCAAAACTTCTCTGAATAAAGGAAGGTTCCACTCTGTGAGTTGAATACACACAACACAAAGGATTTACTGAGAATTCTTCTGTCTAGCAGTAAATGAAAAAATCCCGCTTCCAACGAAGTCCTCAAAGGGGTCCAAGTAATCACTTGCAGACTTTACAGACAGAGTCTTTCCAAACTGCTCTATGAAAAGAAAGGTGGAACTCTGTGAGCTGAACGCACACATAACAAAGCAGTTTCTGAGAATGATTCTGTGTAGTTTTTACACGAAGATATTTCCATTTCAAAGATTAGCCTCAAATCGCTTGAAATCTCCACTTGCAAACTCCACAGAAAGAATTTTTCAAAACTGCTCTGTCTAAAGGAAGGTTCAACTCTGTGACTTGAATACACACAACACAAAGAAGTGACTGAGAATTCTTCTGTCTAGCATTATATGAAGAAATCCCGTTTCCAACGAAGGCCTCAAAGAAGTCCAAATAAGCACCTGCAGACTTTACAAACAGAGTGTTTCCAAACTGCTCTATGAAAAGAAAGGTTAAACTCTGTGAGCTGAACGCACACATCACAAAGTAGTTGTTGAGAATGATTTCTGTGTAGTTTTTATACGAAGATATTTCCTTTTCTGCCATAGGCCTAGAAGCGCTTGAAATCTGCGCTTGCAAATTCCAAAAACAGAGTGTTTCAAATCTGCTCTCTCTAAAGGAAGGTTCAAATCTGTGTGTTGAATACAAACAACACAAAGAAGTTACTGAGAATTCTTCTGTCTAGCATTATATGAGGAAATCCCGTTTCAAACGAAGGGCTCAAAGAGGGCCAATTATCCACCTGCAGACTTACAAAGAGTGTATTTCCAAACTGCTCGATTAAAGAAAGGTTAAACTCTGTGAGTTGAACACACACATCACAAAGAGTTTTCTGAGAATGATTTTGTCTAGTTTTAATACGAAGATATATCCTTTTCTATCACTGTCTTCGAAGCGTTTGAAATCTGCACTAGCAAATTCCACAGAAAGAGTGTTTCAACTCTGCTCTCTCTCAAGAAAGGTTCAACTCTGTGAGTGGAATACACACAACACAAAGAAGTTACAGAGAATTCTTCTGTCTAGCGTTATATGAAGAAATCCCGTTTCCAACGAAGGCCTCAAAGAGGTCCAAATATCCACTTGCAGACTTTACAAATAGAGTGTTTCCAAACTGCTCTATGAAAAGAAAGGTTAAACTCTGTGAGTTGAAGGCACACATCACAAACTAGTTTCTGCGAATGACTCTGTGTACTTTTAATACGAAGATGTTTCCATGTCTAAGATTGGCGTGAATTCGCTTGAAATCTCCACTTGCAATTTCCACAAAAAGAGTGTTTCAAAACTGCTCTGAATAAAGGAAGGTTCCACTCTGTGAGTTGAATACACACAACACAAAGGATTTACTGAGAATTCTTCTGTCTAGCAGTAAATGAGAAATCCCGCTTCCAACGAAGGCCTCAAAGGGGTCTAACTAATCACTTGCAGACTTTACAGACAGAGTCTTTCCAAACTGCTCTATGAAGAGAAAGGTGAAACTCTGTGAACTGAACGCACAGATGACAAAGCAGTTTCTGAGAATGATTCTGTGTAGTTTTTACACGAAGATATTTCCATTTCAAAGATTAGCCTCAAATCGCTTGAAATCTCCACTTGCAAATTCCACAGAAAGAGTTTTTCAAAACTGCTCTGTGTAAAGGAAGGTTCAACTCTGTGACTTGAATACACACAACGCAAAGAAGTGACTGAGAATTCTTCTGTCTGGCATTATATGAAGAAATCCCATTTCCAACGAAGGCCTCAAAGAAGTCCAAATATGCACTTGCAGACTTTACAACCAGAGTGTTTCCAAACTGCTCTATGAAAAGAAAGGTTAAACCCTGTGAGTTGAACGCACACATCACAAAGTAGTTTCTGAGAATGATTCTGTCTAGTTTTTACACGGAGATATTTCCATTTCAAAGATTGGCCTTAAATCGCATGTAATCTCCACTTGCAAATTCCACAGAAAGAGTTTTTCAAAACTGCTCTGTCTAAATGAAGGTTCAACTCTGTGACTTGAATATACACAACACAAAGAAGTGACTGAGAATTCTTCTGTCTAGCATTATATGAAGAAATCCCGTTTCCAACGAAGGCCTCAATGAAGTCCAAAAAAGCACTTGCAGGCTTTACAAACAGAGTGTTTCCAAACTGCTCTATGAAAAGAAAGGTCAAACTCTGTGAGTTGAAGGCACACATCACAAACTAGTTTCTACGAATGATTCTGTGTACTTTAAATACGAAGATATTTCCATGTCTAAGATTGGCGTGAAATCGCTTGAAATCTCCACTTGCAAATTCCACAAAAAGAGTGTGTCAAAACTGCTCTGAATAAAGGAAGGTTCAACTCTGTGAGTTGAATACACACAACACAAAGGATTTACTGAGAATTCTTCTGTCTAGCAGTAAATGAAAAAATCCCGCTTCCAACGAAGTCCTCAAAGGGGTCCAAGTAATCACTTGCAGACTTTACAGACAGTGTCTTTCCAAACTGCTCTATGAAAAGAAAGGTGAAACTCTGTGAGCTGAACGCACACATAACAAAGCAGTTTCTGAGAATGATTCTGTGTCGTTTTTACACGAAGATATTTCCATTTCAAAGATTAGCCTCAAATCGCTTGAAATCTCCACTTGCAAATTCCACAGAAAGAATTTTTCAAAACTGCTCTGTCTAAAGGAAGGTTCAACTCTGTGACTTGAATACACACAACACAAAGAAGTGACTGAGAATTCTTCTGTCTAGCATTATAAGAGGAAATCCCGTTTCCAACGAAGGGCTCATAGAGGGACAATTATCCAGCTGCAGACTTACAAAGAGTGTATTTCCAAACTGCTCGATTAAAGAAAGGTTAAACTCTGTGAGTTGAACACACACATCACAAAGTGTTTTCTGAGAATGATTTTGTCTAGTTTTAATACGAAGATATATCCTTTTCTATCACTGTCTTCGAAGCGTTTGAAATCTGCACTAGCAAATTCCACAGAAAGAGTGTTTCAACTCTGCTCTCTCTCAAGAAAGGTTCAACTCTGTGAGTTGAATACACACAACACAAAGAAGTTACTGAGAATTCTTCTGTCTAGCGTTATATGAAGAAATCCCGTTTCCAACGAAGGCCTCAAAGAGGTCCAAATATCCACTTGCAGACTTTACAGATAGAGTGTTTCCAAACTGCTCTATGAAAAGAAAGGTTAAACTCCGTGAGTTGAAGGCACACATCACAAACTAGTTTCTGCGAATGACTTCTGTGTACTTTTAATACGAAGATGTTTCCATGTCTAAGATTGGCGTGAATTCGCTTGAAATCTCCACTTGCAAATTCCACAAAAAGAGTGTTTCAAAACTGCTCTGAATAAAGGAAGGTTCCACTCTGTGAGTTGAATACACACAACACAAAGGATTTACTGAGAATTCTTCTGTCTAGCAGTAAATGAGAAATCCCGCTTCCAACGAAGGCCTCAAAGGGGTCTAACTAATCACTTGCAGACTTTAAAGACAGAGTCTTTCCAAACTGCTCTATGAAGAGAAAGGTGAAACTCTGTGAACTGAACGCACAGATGACAAAGCAGTTTCTGAGAATGCTTCTGTGTAGTTTTTACACGAAGATATTTCCATTTCAAAGATTAGCCTCAAATCGCTTGAAATCTCCACTTGCAAACTCCACAGAAAGAATTTTTCAAAACTGCTCTGTCTAAAGGAAGGTTCAACTCTGTGACTTGAATACACACAACAGAAAGAAGTGACTGAGAATTCTTCTGTCTAGCATTATATGAAGAAATCCCGTTTCCAACGAAGGCCTCAATGAAGTCCAAAAAAGCAATTGCAGGCTTTACAAACAGAGTGTTTCCAAACTGCTCTATGAAAAGAAAGGTTAAACTTTGTGAGTTGAACGCACACATCACAAAGTAGTTGTTGAGAATGATTCTGTGCAGTTTTTATACGAAGATATTTCCTTTTCTGCCATAGGCCTAGAATCGCTTGATATCTGCACTTGCAAATTCCAAAAACAGAGTGTTTCAATTCTGCTCTCTCTAAAGAAAGGTTCAACTCTGTGAGTTGAATACACACAACACAAAGAAGTTACTGAGAATTCTTCTGTCTAGCGTTATATGAAGAAATCCCGTTTCCAACGAAGGCCTCAAAGAGGTCCAAATATCCACTTGCAGACTTTACAAATAGAGTGTTTCCAAACTGCTCTATGAAAAGAAAGGTTAAACTCCGTGAGTTGAAGGCACACATCACAAACTAGTTTCTGCGAATGACTCTGTGTACTTTTAATACGAAGATGTTTCCATGTCTAAGATTGGCGTGAATTCGCTTGAAATCTCCACTTGCAAATTCCACAAAAAGAGTGTTTCAAAACTGCTCTGAATAAAGGAAGGTTCCACTCTGTGAGTTGAATACACACAACACAAAGGATTTACTGAGAATTCTTCTGTCTAGCAGTAAATGAGAAGTCCCGCTTCCAACGAAGGCCTCAAAGGGGTCTAACTAATCACTTGCAGACTTTAAAGACAGAGTCTTTCCAAACTGCTCTATGAAGAGAAAGGTGAAACTCTGTGAACTGAACGCACAGATGACAAAGCAGTTTCTGAGAATGCTTCTGTGTAGTTTTTACACGAAGATATTTCCATTTCAAAGATTAGCCTCAAATCGCTTGAAATCTCCACTTGCAAACTCCACAGAAAGAATTTTTCAAAACTGCTCTGTCTAAAGGAAGGTTCAACTCTGTGACTTGAATACACACAACACAAAGAAGTGAGTGAGAATTCTTCTGTCTAGCATTATAAGAGGAAATCCTGTTTCCAACGAAGGGCTCATAGAGGGACAATTATCCAGCTGCAGACTTACAAAGAGTGTATTTCCAAACTGCTCGATTAAAGAAAGGTTAAACTCTGTGAGTTGAACACACACATCACAAAGTGTTTTCTGAGAATGATTTTGTCTAGTTTTAATACGAAGATATATCCTTTTCTATCACTGTCTTCGAAGCGTTTGAAATCTGCACTAGCAAATTCCACAAACAGAGTGTTTCAACTCTGCTCTCTCTCAAGAAAGGTTCAACTCTGTGAGTTGAATACACACAACACAAAGAAGTTACTGAGAATTCTTCTGTCTAGCGTTATATGAAGATATCCCGTTTCCAACGAAGGCCTCAAAGAGGTCCAAATATCCACTTGCAGACTTTACAAATAGAGTGTTTCCAAACTGCTCTATGAAAAGAAAGGTTAAACTCCGTGAGTTGAAGGCACACATCACAAACTAGTTTCTGCGAATGACTCTGTGTACTTTTAATATGAAGATATTTCCATGTCTAAGATTGACGTCAAATCGCTTGAAATCTCCACTTGCAAATTCCACAAAAAGAGTGTTTCAAAACTGCTCTGAATAAAAGAAGGTTCCACTCTGTGAGTTGAATAAACACAACACAAAGGATTTACTGGGAATTCTTCTGTCTAGCAGTAAATGAGAAATCCCGCTTCCAACGAAGGCCTCAAAGGGGTCTAACTAATCACTTGCAGACTTTACAGACAGAGTCTTTCCAAACTGCTCTATGAAGAGAAAGGTGAAACTCTGTGAACTGAACGCACAGATGACAAAGCAGTTTCTGAGAATGATTCTGTGTAGTTTTTACACGAAGATATTTCCATTTCAAAGATTAGCCTCAAATCGCTTGAAATCTCCACTTGCAAATTCCACAGAAAGAGTTTTTCAAAACTGCTCTGTGTAAAGGAAGGTTCAACTCTGTGACTTGAATACACACAACACAAAGAAGTGACTGAGAATTCTTCTGTCTAGCATTATATGAAGAAATCTCGTTTCCAACGAAGGCCTCAATGAAGTCCAAAAAAGCACTTGCAGGCTTTACAAACAGAGTGTTTCCAAACTGCTCTATGAAAAGAAAGGTTAACCTCTGTGAGTTGAACGCACACATCACAAAGTAGTTGTTGAGAATGATTCTGTGTAGTTTTTATACGAAGATATTTCCTTTTCTGCCATAGGCCTAGAAGCGCTTGTAATCTGCACTTGCAAATTCCAAAACCAGAGTGTTTCAAATCTGCTCTCTCTAAAGGAAGGTTCAAATCTGTGAGTTGAATACAAACAACACAAAGAAGTTACTGAGGATTCTTCTGTCTAGCGTTATACGAAGAAATCCCTTTTCCAACGAAGGCCTCAAAGAGGTCCAAATATCCACTTGCAGACTTTACAAATAGAGTGTTTCCGAACTGCTCTATGAAAAGAAAGGTTAAACTCTGTGAGTTGAAGGCACACATCACAAACTAGTTTCTACGAATGATTCTGTGTACTTTTAATATGAAGATATTTCCATGTCTAAGATTGGCGTCAAATCGCTTGAAATCTCCACTTGCAAATTCCACAAAAAGTGTTTTTCAAAAGTGCTCTGAATAAAGGAAGGTTCCACTCTGTGAGTTGAATACACACAACACAAAGGATTTACTGAGAATTCTTCTGTCTAGCAGTAAATGGGAAATCCCGCTTCCAACGAAGGCCTCAAAGGGGTCTAACTAATCACTTGCGGACTTTACAGACAGAGTCTTTCCAAACTGCTCTCTGAAGAGAAAGGTTAAACTCTGTGAACTGAACGCACATATAACAAAGCAGTTTCTGAGAATGATTCTGTGTAGTTTTTACACGAAGATATTTCCATTTCAAAGATTAGCCTCAAATCGCTTGAAATCTCCACTTGCAAATTCCACAGAAAGAATTTTTCAAAACTGCTCTGTCTAAAAGAAGGTTCAACTCTGTGACTTGAATACACACAACACAAAGAAGTGACTGAGAATTCTTCTGTCTAGCATTATATGAAGAAATCCCGTTTCCAACGAAGGCGTCAATGAAGTCCAAAAAAGCACTTGCAGGCTTTACAAACAGAGTGTTTCCAAACTGCTCTATGAAAAGAAAGGTTAAACTCTGTGAGTTCAACGCACACATCACAAAGTAGTTGTTGAGAATGATTCTGTGTAGTTTTTATACGAAGATATTTACTTTTCTGCCATAGGCCTAGAAGCGCTTGAAATCTGCACTTGCAAATTCCAAAAACAGAGTGTTTCAAATCTGGTCTCTCTAAAGGAAGGTTCAAATCTGTGAGTTGAATACAAACAACACAAAGAAGTTACTGAGAATTCTTCTGTCTAGCATTATATGAGGAAATCCCGTTTCCAATGAAGGGCTCAAAGAGGGCCAATTATCCACCTGCAGACTTACAAAGATTGTATTTCCAAACTGCTCGATTAAAGAAAGGTTAAACTCTGTGAGTTGAACACACACATCACAAAGTGTTTTCTGAGAATGATTTTGTCTACTTTTAGTACGAAGATATATCCTTTTCTATCACTGTCTTCGAAGCGTTTGAAATCTGCACTAGCAAATTCCACAAAAAGAGTGTTTCAACTCTGCTCTCTCTAAAGAAACGTTCAACTCTGTGAGTTGAATACACACAACACAAAGAAGTTACTGAGAATTCTTCTGTCTAGCGTTATATGAAGAAATCCCTTTTCCAACGAAGGCCTCAAAGAGGTCCAAATATCCACTTGCAGACTTTATAAATAGAATGTTTCCTAACTGCTCTATGAAAAGAAAGGTTAAACTCTGTAAGTTGAAGGCACACATCACAAACTAGTTTCTACGAATGATTCTGTGTACTTTTAATATGAAGATATTTCCATGTCTAAGATTGGCGTCAAATCGCTTGAAATCTCCACTTGCAAATTCCACAAAAAGAGTGTTTCAAAACTGCTCTGAATAAAGGAAGGTTCCACTCTGTGAGTTGAATGAACACAACACAAAGGTTTTACTGAGAATTCTTCTGTCTAGCAGTAAATGAAAAAATCCCGCTTCCAACGAAGTCCTCAAAGGGGTCCAAGTAATCACTTGCAGACTTTACAGACAGAGTCTTTCCAAACTGCTCTATGAAAAGAAAGGTGGAACTCTGTGAGCTGAACGCACACATAACAAAGCAGTTTCTGAGAATGATTCTGTGTAGTTTTTACACGAAGATATTTCCATTTCAAAGATTAGCCTCAAATCGCTTGAAATCTCCACTTGCAAATTCCACAGAAAGAGTTTTTCAAAACTGCTCTGTGTAAAGGAAGGTTCAACTCTGTGACTTGAATACACACAACACAAAGAAGTGACTGAGAATTCTTCTGTCTAGCATTATATGAGGAAATCCCGTTTCCAACGAAGGGCTCATAGAGGGACAATTATCCAGCTGCAGACTTACAAAGAGTGTATTTCCAAACTGCTCGATTAAAGAAAGGTTAAACTCTGTGAGTTGAACACACACATCACAAAGTGTTTTCTGAGAATGATTTTGTCTAGTTTTAATACGAAGATATATCCTTTTCTATCACTGTCTTCGAAGCGTTTGAAATCTGCACTAGCAAATTCCACAAACAGAGTGTTTCAACTCTGCTCTCTCTCAAGAAAGGTTCAACTCTGTGAGTGGAATACACACAACACAAAGAAGTTACTGAGAATTCTTCTGTCTAGCATTATATGAAGAAATCCCGTTTCCAACGAAGGCCTCAAAGAGGTCCAAATATCCACTTGCAGACTTTACAAATAGAGTGTTTCCAAACTGCTCTATGAAAAGAAAGCTTAAACTCTGTGAGTTGAAGGCACACATCACAAACTAGTTTCTGCGAATGACTCTGTGTACTTTTAATACGAAGATGTTTCCATGTCTAAGATTGGCGTGAATTCGCTTGAAATCTCCACTTGCAAATTCCACCAAAAGAGTGTTTCAAAACTGCTCTGAATAAAGGAAGGTTCCACTCTGTGAGTTGAATACACACAACACAAAGGATTTACTGAGAATTCTTCTGTCTAGCAGTAAATGAAAAAATCCCGCTTCCAACGAAGTCCTCAAAGGGGTCCAAGTAATCACTTGCAGACTTTACAGACAGAGTCTTTCCAAACTGCTCTATGAAAAGAAAGGTGGAACTCTGTGAGCTGAACGCACACATAACAAAGAAGTTTCTGAGAATGATTCTGTGTAGTTTTTACACGAAGATATTTCCATTTCAAAGATTAGCCTCAAATCGCTTGAAATCTCCACTTGCAAATTCCACAGAAAGAGTTTTTCAAAACTGCTCTGTGTAAAGGAAGGTTCAACTCTGTGACTTGAATACACACAACACAAAGAAGTGACTGAGAATTCTTCTGTCTAGCATTATAAGAGGAAATCCCGTTTCCAACGAAGGGCTCATAGAGGGACAATTATCCAGCTGCAGACTTACAAAGAGTGTATTTCCAAACTGCTCGATTAAAGAAAGGTTAAACTCTGTGAGTTGAACACACACATCACAAAGTGTTTTCTGAGAATGATTTTGTCTAGTTTTAATACGAAGATATATCCTTTTCTATCACTGTCTTCGAAGCGTTTGAAATCTGCACTAGCAAATTCCACAAACAGAGTGTTTCAACTCTGCTCTCTCTCAAGAAAGGTTCAACTCTGTGAGTGGAATACACACAACACAAAGAAGTTACTGAGAATTCTTCTGTCTAGCGTTATATGAAGAAATCCCGTTTCCAACGAAGGCCTCAAAGAGGTCCAAATATCCACTTGCAGACTTTACAAATAGAGTGTTTCCAAACTGCTCTATGAAAAGAAAGGTTAAACTCTGTGAGTTGAAGGCACACATCACAAACTAGTTTCTGCGAATGACTCTGTGTACTTTTAATACGAAGATGTTTCCATGTCTAAGATTGGCGTGAATTTGCTTGAAATCTCCACTTGCAAATTCCACAAAAAGAGTGTTTCATAACTGCTCTGAATAAAGGAAGGTTCCACTCTGTGAGTTGAATACACACAACACAAAGGATTTACTGAGAATTCTTCTGTCTAGCAGTAAATGAAAAAATCCCGCTTCCAACGAAGTCCTCAAAGGGGTCCAAGTAATCACTTGCAGACTTTACAGACAGAGTCTTTCCAAACTGCTCTATGAAAAGAAAGGTGGAACTCTGTGAGCTGAACGCACACATAACAAAGCAGTTTCTGAGAATGATTCTGTGTAGTTCTTACACGAAGATATTTCCATTTCAAAGATTAGCCTCAAATCGCTTGAAATCTCCACTTGCAAACTCCACAGAAAGAATTTTTCAAAACTGCTCTGTCTAAAGGAAGGTTCAACTCTGTGACTTGAATACACACAACACAAAGAAGTGACTGAGAATTCTTCTGTCTAGCATTATATGAAGAAATCCCGTTTCCAACGAAGGCCTCAATGAAGTCCAAAAAAGCACTTGCAGGCTTTACAAACAGAGTGTTTCCAAACTGCTCTATGAAAAGAAAGGTTAAACTCTGTGAGTTGAACGCACACATCACAAAGTAGTTGTTGAGAATGATTTTGTCTAGTTTTAATACGAAGATATATCCTTTTCTATCACTGTCTTCGAAGCGTTTGAAATCTGCACTAGCAAATTCCACAGAAAGAGTGTTTCAACTCTGCTCTCTCTCAAGAAAGGTTCAACTCTGTGAGTGGAATACACACAACACAAAGAAGTTACTGAGAATTCTTCTGTCTAGCGTTATATGAAGAAATCCCGTTTCCAACGAAGGCCTCAAAGAGGTCCAAATATCCACTTGCAGACTTTACAAATAGAGTGTTTCCAAACTGCTCTATGAAAAGAAAGGTTAAACTCCGTGAGTTGAAGGCACACATCACAAACTAGTTTCTGCGAATGACTCTGTGTACTTTTAATACGAAGATGTTTCCATGTCTAAGATTGGCGTGAATTCGCTTGAAATCTCCACCTGCAAATTCCACAAAAAGAGTGTTTCAAAAGTGTTCTGAATAAAGGAAGGTTCCACTCTGTGAGTTGAATACACACAACACAAAGGATTTACTGAGAATTCTTCTGTCTAGCAGTAAATGAAAAAATCCCGCTTCCAACGAAGTCCTCAAAGGGGTCCAAGTAATCACTTGCAGACTTTACAGACAGAGTCTTTCCAAACTGCTCTATGAAAAGAAAGGTGGAACTCTGTGAGCTGAACGCACACATAACAAAGCAGTTTCTGACAATGATTCTGTGTAGTTTTTACACGAAGATATTTCCATTTCAAAGATTAGCCTCAAATCGCTTGAAATCTCCACTTGCAAATTACACAGAAAGAATTTTTCAAAACTGCTCTGTCTAAAGGAAGGTTCAACTCTGTGACTTGAATACACAAAACACAAAGAAGTGACTGAGAATTCTTCTGTCTAGCATTATATGAAGAAATCCCGTTTCCAACGAAGGCCTCAATGAAGTCCAAAAAAGCACTTGCAGGCTTTACAAACAGAGTGTTTCCAAACTGCTCTATGAAAAGAAAGGTTAAACTCTGTGAGTTGAACGCACACATCACAAAGTAGTTGTTGAGAATGATTCTGGGTAGTTTTTATACGAAGATATTTCCTTTTCTGCCATAGGCCTAGAATCGCTTGAAATCTGCACTTGCAAATTCCAAAAACAGAGTGTTTCAACTCTGTTCTCTCTAAAGAAAGGTTCAACTCTGTGAGTTGAATACACACAACACAAAGAAGTTACTGAGAATTCTTCTGTCTAGCGTTGTATGAAGAAATCCCGTTTCCAACGAAGGCCTCAATGAAGTCCAAAAAAGCACTTGCACGCTTTACAAACAGAGTGTTTCCAAACTGCTCTATGAAAAGAAAGGTTAAACTCTGTGAGTTGAACGCACACATCACAAAGTAGTTGTTGAGAATGATTTCCTGTGTAGTTTTTATACGAAGATATTTCCTTTTCTGCCATAGGCCTAGAAGCGCTTGAAATCTGCACTTGCAAATTCCAAAAACAGAGTGTTTCAAATCTGCTCTCTCTAAAGGAAGGTTCAAATCTGTGTGTTGAATACAAACAACACAAAGAAGTTACTGAGAATTCTTCTGTCTAGCATTATATGAGGAAATCCCGTTTCCAACGAAGGGCTCAAAGAGGGCCAAATATCCACCTGCAGAATTACAAAGAGTGTATTTCCAAACTGCTCGATTAAAGAAAGGTTAAACTCTGTGAGTTGAACACACACATCACAAAGAGTTTTCTGAGAATGATTTTGTCTACTTTTAATACGAAGATATATCCTTTTCTATCACTGTCTTCGAAGCGTTTGAAATCTACACTAGCAAATTCCACAAAAAGAGTGTTTCACCTCTGCTCCCTCTAAAGAAAGGTTCAACTCTGTGAGTTGAATACACACAACACAAAGAAGTTACTGAGAATTCTTCTGTCTAGCGTTATACGAAGAAATCCCTTTTCCAACGAAGGCCTCAAAGAGGTCCAAATATCCACTTGCAGACTTTACAAATAGAGTGTTTCCAAACTGCTCTATGAAAAGAAAGGTTAAACTCTGTGAGTTGAAGGCACACATCACAAACTAGTTTCTACGAATGACTCTGTGTACTTTTAATATGAAGATATTTCCCATGTCTAAGATTGGCATCAAATCGCTTGAAATCTCCACTTGCAAATTCCACAAAAAGTGTTTTTCAAAACTGCTCTGAATAAAGGAAGGTTCCACTCTGTGAGTTGAATACACACAACACAAAGGATTTACTGAGAATTCTTCTGTCTAGCAGTAAATGGGAAATCCCGCTTCCAACGAAGGCCTCAAAGGGGTCTAACTAATCACTTGCGGACTTTACAGACAGAGTCTTTCCAAACTGCTCTATGAAGAGAAAGGTTAAACTCTGTGAACTGAACGCACAGATAACAAAGCAGTTTCTGAGAATGATTCTGTGTAGTTTTGACACGAAGATATTTCCATTTCAAAGATTAGCCTCAAATCGCTTGAAATCTCCACTTGCAAATTCCACAGAAAGAATTTTTCAAAACTGCTCTGTCTAAAAGAAGGTTCAACTCTGTGACTTGAATACACACAACACAAAGAAGTTACTGAGAATTCTTCTGTCTAGCATTATAAGAGGAAATCCCGTTTCCAACGAAGGGCTCATAGAGGGACAATTATCCAGCTGCAGACTTACAAAGAGTGTATTTCCAAACTGCTCGATTAAAGAAAGGTTAAACTCTGTGAGTTGAACACACACATCACAAAGTGTTTTCTGAGAATGATTTTGTCTAGTTTTAATACGAAGATATATCCTTTTCTATCACTGTCTTCGAAGCGTTTGAAATCTGCACTAGCAAATTCCACAGAAAGAGTGTTTCAACTCTGCTCTCTCTCAAGAAAGGTTCAACTCTGTGAGTTGAATACACACAACACAAAGAAGTTACTGAGAATTCTTCTGTCTAGCGTTATATGAAGAAATCCCGTTTCCAACGAAGGCCTCAAAGAGGTCCAAATATCCACTTGCAGACTTTACAAATAGAGTGTTTCCAAACTGCTCTATGAAAAGAAAGGTTAAACTCCGTGAGTTGAAGGCACACATCACAAACTAGTTTCTGCGAATGACTCTGTGTACTTTTAATATGAAGATATTTCCATGTCTAAGATTGGCGTCAAATCGCTTGAAATCTCCACTTGCAAATTCCACAAAAAGAGTGTTTCAAAACTGCTCTGAATAAAGGAAGGTTCCACTCTGTGAGTTGAATACACACAACACAAAGGATTTACTGAGAATTCTTCTGTCTAGCAGTAAATGAAAAAATCCCGCTTCCAACGAAGTCCTCAAAGGGGTCCAAGTAATCACTTGCAGACTTTACAAACAGAGTCTTTCCAAACTGCTCTATGAAAAGAAAGGTGGAACTCTGTGAGCTGAACGCACACATAACAAAGCAGTTTCTGAGAATGATTCTGTGTAGTTTTTACACGAAGATATTTCCATTTCAAAGATTAGCCTCAAATCGCTTGAAATCTCCACTTGCAAATTCCACAGAAAGAGTTTTTCAAAACTGCTCTGTGTAAAGGAAGGTTCAACTCTGTGACTTGAATACACACAACACAAAGAAGTGACTGAGAATTCTTCTGTCTAGCATTATATGAAGAAATCCCGTTTCCAACGAAGGCCTCAAAGAAGTCCAAATAAGCACCTGCAGACTTTACAAACAGAGTGTTTCCAAACTGCTCTATGAAAAGAAAGGTTAAACTCTGTGAGTTGAACGCACACATCACAAAGTAGTTGTTGAGAATGATTCCTGTGTAGTTTTTATACGAAGATATTTCCTTTTCTGCCATAGGCCTAGAAGCGCTTGCAATCTGCACTTGCAAATTCCAAAAACAGAGTGTTTCAAATCTGCTCTCTCCAAAGGAAGGTTCAAATCTGTGAGTTGAATACAAACAACACAAAGAAGTTACTGAGAATTCTTCTGTCTAGCATTATAAGAGGAAATCCCGTTTCCAACGAAGGGCTCCTAGAGGGACAATTATCCAGCTGCAGACTTACAAAGAGTGTATTTCCAAACTGCTCGATTAAAGAAAGGTTAAACTCTGTGAGTTGAACACACACATCACAAAGTTTTTTCTGAGAATGATTCTGTGTACTTTTAATACGAAGATGTTTCCATGTCTAAGATTGGCGTGAATTCGCTTGAAATCTCCACTTGCAAATTCCACAAAAAGAGTGTTTCAAAACTGCTCTGAATAAAGGAAGGTTCCACTCTGTGAGTTGAATACACACAACACAAAGGATTTACTGAGAATTCTTCTGTCTAGCAGTAAATGAAAAAATCCCGCTTCCAACGAAGTCCTCAAAGGGGTCCAAGTAATCACTTGAAGACTTTACAGACAGAGTCTTTCCAAACTGCTCTATGAAAAGAAAGGTGGAACTCTGTGAGCTGAACGCACACATAACAAAGCAGTTTCTGAGAATGATTCTGTGTAGTTTTTACACGAAGATATTTCCATTTCAAAGATTAGCCTCAAATCGCTTGAAATCTCCACTTGCAAATTCCACAGAAAGAGTTTTTCAAAACTGCTCTGTGTAAAGGAAGGTTCAACTCTGTGACTTGAATACACACAACACAAAGAAGTGACTGAGAATTCTTCTGTCTAGCATTATATGAAGAAATCCCGTTTCCAACGAAGGCCTCAAAGAAGTCCAAATAAGCACCTGCAGACTTTACAAACAGAGTGTTTCCAAACTGCTCTATGAAAAGAAAGGTTAAACTCTGTGAGTTGAACGCACACATCACAAAGTAGTTGTTGAGAATGATTCTGTGTAGTTTTTATACGAAGATATTTCCTTTTCTGCCATAGGCCTAGAAGCGCTTGCAATCTGCACTTGCAAATTCCAAAAACAGAGTGTTTCAAATCTGCTCTCTCCAAAGGAAGGTTCAAATCTGTGAGTTGAATACAAACAACACAAAGAAGTTACTGAGAATTCTTCTGTCTAGCATTATAAGAGGAAATCCCGTTTCCAACGAAGGGCTCATAGAGGGACAATTATCCAGCTGCAGACTTACAAAGAGTGTATTTCCAAACTACTCGATTAAAGAAAGGTTAAACTCTGTGAGTTGAACACACACATCACAAAGTGTTTTCTGAGAATGATTTTGTCTAGTTTTAATACGAAGATATATCCTTTTCTATCACTGTCTTCGAAGCGTTTGAAATCGGCACTAGCAAATTCCCCAAACAGAGTGTTTCAACTCTGCTCTCTCTCAAGAAAGGTTCAACTCTGTGAGTGGAATACACACAACACAAAGAAGTTACTGAGAATTCTTCTGTCTAGCGTTATATGAAGAAATCCCGTTTCCAACGAAGGCCTCAAAGAGGTCCAAATATCCACTTGCAGACTTTACAAATAGAGTGTTTCCAAACTGCTCTATGAAAAGAAAGGTTAAACTCCGTGAGTTGAAGGCACACATCACAAACTAGTTTCTGCGAATGACTCTGTGTACTTTTAATATGAAGATATTTCCATGTCTAAGATTGGCGTCAAATCGCTTGAAATCTCCACTTGCAAATTCCACAAAAAGAGTGTTTCAAAACTGCTCTGAATAAAGGAAGGTTCCACTCTGTGAGTTGAATACACACAACACAAAGGATTTACTGAGAATTCTTCTGTCTAGCAGTAAATGAGAAATCCCGCTTCCAACGAAGGCCTCAAAGGGGTCTAACTAATCACTTGCAGACTTTACAGACAGAGTCTTTCCAAACTGCTCTATGAAGAGAAAGGTGAAACTCTGTGAACTGAACGCACAGATGACAAAGCAGTTTCTGAGAATGATTCTGTGTAGTTTTTACACGAAGATATTTCCATTTCAAAGATTAGCCTCAAATTGCTTGAAATCTCCACTTGCAAATTCCACAGACAGAATTTTTCAAGACTGCTCTGTCTAAAGGACGGTTCAACTCTGTGACTTGAATACACACAACACAAAGAAGTGACTGAGAATTCTTCTGTCTAGCATTATAAGAGGAAATCCCGTTTCCAACGAAGGGCTCATAGAGGGACAATTATCCAGCTGCAGACTTACAAAGAGTGTATTTCCAAACTGCTCGATTAAAGAAAGGTTAAACTCTGTGAGTTGAACACACACATCACAAAGTGTTTTCTGAGAATGATTTTGTCTAGTTTTAATATGAAGATATATCCTTTTCTATCATTGTCTTCGAAGCGTTTGAAATCTGCACTAGCAAATTCCACAAAATGAGTGTTTCAGATCTGCTCTCTCCAAAGAAAGGTTCAACTCTGTGAGTTGAATACACACAACACAAAGAAGTTACTGAGAATTCTTCTGTCTAGCGTTGTATGAAGAAATCCCGTTTCCAACGAAGGCCTCAAAGAGGTCCAAATATCCACTTGCAGACTTTAAAAATAGAGTGTTTCCAAACTTCTCTATGAAAAGAAAGGTTAAACTCTGTGAGGTGAAGGCACACATCACAAACTAGTTTCTACGGATTACTCTGTGTACTTTTAATATGAAGATATTTCCATGTCTAAGATTGGCGTCAAATCGCTTGAAATCTCCACTTGCATATTCCACAAAAAGTGTTTTTCAAAACTGCTCTGAATAAAGAAGGTTCCACTCTGTGAGTTGAATACACTCAACACAAAGGATTTACTGAGAATTCTTCTGTCTAGCAGTAAATGAGAAATCCCGCTTCCAACGAAGGCCTCAAAGGGGTCTAACTAATCACTTGCAGACTTTACAGACAGAGTCTTTCCAAACTGCTCTAAGAAGAGAAAGGTGAAACTCTGTGAACTGAAAGCACAGATGACAAAGCAGTTTCTGAGAATGATTCTGTGTAGTTTTTACACGAAGCTATTTCCATTTCAAAGATTAGCCTCAAATCGCTTGAAATCTCCACTTGCAAATTCCACAGAAAGAGTTTTTCAAAACTGCTCTGTGTAAAGGAAGGTTCAACTCTGTGACTTGAATACACACAACACAAAGAAGTGACTGAGAATTCTTCTGTCTAGCATTACATGAATAAATCCCGTTTCCAACGAAGGCCTCAAAGAAGTCCAAATAAGCACCTGCAGACTTTACAAACAGAGTGTTTCCAAACTGCTCTATGAAAAGAAAGGTTAAACTCTGTGAGTTGAACGCACACATCACAAAGTAGTTGTCGAGAATGATTTTGTCTACTTTTAATACGAAGATATATCCTTTTCTATCACTGTCTTCGAAGCGTTTGAAATCTACACTAGCAAATTCCACAAAAAGAGTTTTTCACCTCTGCTCCCTCTAAAGAAAGGTTCAACTCTGTGAGTTGAATACACACAACACAAAGAAGTTACTGAGAATTCTTCTGTCTAGCGTTATATGAAGAAATCCCGTTTCCAACGAAGGCCTCAAAGAGGTCCAAATATCCACTTGCAGACTTTACAAATAGAGTGTTTCCCAACTGCTCTATGAAAAGAAAGGTTAAACTCTGTGAGTTGAAGGCACACATCACAAACTAGTTTCTACGAATGACTCTGTGTACTTTTAATATGAAGATATTTCCATGTCTAAGATTGGCGTCAAATCGCTTGAAATCTCCACTTGCAAATTCCACAAAAAGAGTGTTTGAAAACTGCTCTGAATAAAGGAAGGTTCCACTCTGTGAGTTGAATACACACAACACAAAGGATTTACTGAGAATTCTTCTGTCTAGCAGTAAATGAGAAATCCCACTTCCAACGAAGGCCTCAAAGGGGTCTAACTAATCACTTGCAGACTTTACAGACAGAGTCTTTCCAAACTGCTCTATGAAGAGAAAGGTGAAACTCTGTGAACTGAACGCACAGATGACAAAGCAGTTTCTGAGAATGATTCTGTGTAGTTTTTACACGAAGATATTTCCATTTCAAAGATTAGCCTCAAATCGCTTGAAATCTCCACTTGCAAATTCCACAGAAAGAGTTTTTCAAAACTGCTCTGTGTAAAGGAAGGTTCAACTCTGTGACTTGAATACACACAACACAAAGAAGTGACTGAGAATTCTTCTGTCTAGCATTATATGAAGAAATCCCGTTTCCAACGAAGGCCTCAATGAAGTCCAAAAAAGCACTTGCAGGCTTTACAAACAGAGTGTTTCCAAACTCCTCTATGAAAAGAAAGGTTAAACTCTGTGAGTTGAACGCACACATCACAAAGTAGTTGTTGAGAATGATTCTGTGTAGTTTTTATACGAAGATATTTCCTTTTCTGCCATAGGCCTAGAAGCGCTTGTAATCTGCACTTGCAAATTCCAAAAACAGAGTGTTTCAAATCTGCTCTCTCTAAAGGAAGGTTCAAATCTGTGAGTTGAATACAAACAACACAAAGAAGTTACTGTGAATTCTTCTGTCTAGCATTATAAGAGGAAATCCCGTTTCCAACGAAGGGCTCATAGAGGGACAAATATCCAGCTGCAGACTTACAAAGAGTGTATTTCCAAACTGCTCGATTAAAGAAAGGTTAAACTCTGTGAGTTGAACACACACATCACAAAGTGTTTTCTGAGAATGATTCTGTGTAGTTTTTATACGAAGATATTTCCTTTTCTGCCATAGGCCTAGAAGCGCTTGAAATCTGCACTTGCAAATTCCAAAAACAGGGTGTTTCAAATCTGCTCTCTCTAAAGGAAGGTTCAAATCTGTGTGTTGAATACAAACAACACAAAGAAGTTACTGAGAATTCTTCTGTCTAGCATTATATGAGGAAATCCCGTTTCCAACGAAGGGCTCAAAGAGGGCCAAATATCCACCTGCAGACTTACAAAGAGTGTATTTCCAAACTGCTCGATTAAAGAAAGGTTAAACTCTGTGAGTTGAACACACACATCACAAAGAGTTTTCTGAGAATGATTTTGTCTACTTTTAATACGAAGATATATCCTTTTCTATCACTGTCTTCGAAGCGTTTGAAATCTACACTAGCAAATTCCACAAAAAGAGTGTTTCACCTCTGCTCCCTCTAAAGAAAGGTTCAACTCTGTGAGTTGAATACACACAACACAAAGAAGTTACTGAGAATTCTTCTGTCTAGCATTATATGAGGAAATCCCGTTTCCAACGAAGGGCTCATAGTAGGGACAATTATCCAGCTGCAGACTTACAAAGAGTGTATTTCCAAACTGCTCGATTAAAGAAAGGTTAAACTCTGTGAGTTGAACACACACATCACAAAGTGTTTTCTGAGAATGATTCTGTGTACTTTTAATACGAAGATGTTTCCATGTCTAAGATTGGCGTGAATTCGCTTGAAATCTCCACTTGCAATTTCCACAAAAAGAGTGTTTCAAAACTGCTCTGAATAAAGGAAGGTTCCACTCTGTGAGTTGAATACACACAACACAAAGGATTTACTGAGAATTCTTCTGTCTAGCAGTAAATGAAAAAATCCCGCTTCCAACGAAGTCCTCAAAGGGGTCCAAGTAATCACTTGCAGACTTTACAGACAGAGTCTTTCCAAACTGCTCTATGAAAAGAAAGGTGGAACTCTGTGAGCTGAACGCACACATAACAAAGCAGTTTCTGACAATGATTCTGTGTAGTTTTTACACGAAGATATTTCCATTTCAAAGATTAGCCTCAAATCGCTTGAAATCTCCACTTGCAAACTCCACAGAAAGAATTTTTCAAAACTGCTCTGTCTAAAGGAAGGTTCAACTCTGTGACTTGAATACACACAACACAAACAAGTGACTGAGAATTCTTCTGTCTAGCATTATATGAAGAAATCCCGTTTCCAACGAAGGCCTCAATGAAGTCCAAAAAAGCACTTGCAGGCTTTACAAACAGAGTGTTTCCAAACTGCTCTATGAAAAGAAAGGTTAAACTCTGTGAGTTGAACGCACACATCACAAAGTAGTTGTTGAGAATGACTCTGTGTAGTTTTTATACGAAGATATTTCCTTTTCTGCCATAGGCCAAGAATCGCTTGAAATCTGCAGTTGCAAATTCCACAAAAAGAGTGTCTCACCTCTGCTCCCTCTAAAGAAAGGTTCAACTCTGTGAGTTGAATACACACAACACAAAGAAGTTACTGAGAATTCTTCTGTCTAGCGTTATATGAAGAAATCCCGTTTCCAACGAAGGCCTCAAAGAGGTCCAAATATCCACTTGCAGACTTTACAAATAGAGTGTTGCCCAACTGCTCTATGAAAAGAAAGGTTAAACTCTGTGAGTTGAAGGCACACATCACAAACTACTTTCTACGAATGACTCTGTGTACTTTTAATACGAAGATGTTTCCATGTCTAAGATTGGCGTGAATTCGCTTGAAATCTGCACTTGCAAATTCCACAAAAAGAGTGTTTCAAAAGTGCTCTGAATAAAGGAAGGTTCCACTCTGTGAGTTGAATACACACAACACAAAGGATTTACTGAGAATTCTTCTGTCTAGCAGTAAATGAAAAAATCCCGCTTCCAACGAAGTCCTCAAAGGGGTCCAAGTAATCACTTGCAGACTTTACAGACAGAGTCTTTCCAAACTGCTCTATGAAAAGAAAGGTGGAACTCTGTGAGCTGAACGCACACATAACAAAGCAGTTTCTGACAATGATTCTGTGTAGTTTTTACACGAAGCTATTTCCATTTCAAAGATTAGCCTCAAAACGCTTGAAATCTCCACTTGCAAATTCCACAGAAAGAGTTTTTCAAAACTGCTCTGTGTAAAGGAAGGTTCAACTCTGTGACTTGAATACACACAACACAAAGAAGTGACTGAGAATTCTTCTGTCTAGCATTACATGAAGAAATCCCGTTTCCAACGAAGGCCTCAAAGAAGTCCAAATAAGCACCTGCAGACTTTACAAACAGAGTGTTTCCAAACTGCTCTATGAAAAGAAAGGTTAAACTCTGTGAGTTGAACGCACACATCACAAAGTAGTTGTTGAGAATGATTTTGTCTAGTTTTAATACGAAGATATATCCTTTTCTATCACTGTCTTCGAAGCGTTTGAAATCTGCACTAGCAAATTCCACAGAAAGAGTGTTTCAACTCTGCTCTCTCTCAAGAAAGGTTCAACTCTGTGAGTGGAATACACACAACACAAAGAAGTTACTGAGAATTCTTCTGTCTAGCGTTATATGAAGAAATCCCGTTTCCAACGAAGGCCTCAAAGAGGTCCAAATATCCACTTGCAGACTTTACAAATAGAGTGTTTCCAAACTGCTCTATGAAAAGAAAGGTTAAACTCCGTGAGTTGAAGGCACACATCACAAACTAGTTTCTGCGAATGACTCTGTGTACTTTTAATATGAAGATATTTCCATGTCTAAGATTGGCGTCAAATCGCTTGAAATCTCCACTTGCAAATTCCACAAAAAGAGTGTTTCAAAACTGCTCTGAATAAAGGAAGGTTCCACTCTGTGAGTTGAATACACACAACACAAAGGATTTACTGAGAATTCTTCTGTCTAGCAGTAAATGAGAAATCCCGCTTCCAACGAAGGCCTCAAAGGGGTCTAACTAATCACTTGCAGACTTTACAGACAGAGTCTTTCCAAACTGCTCTATGAAGAGAAAGGTGAAACTGTGTGAACTGAACGCACAGATGACAAAGCAGTTTCTGAGAATGATTCTGTGTAGTTTTTACACGAAGCTATTTCCATTTCAAAGATTAGCCTCAAATCGCTTGAAATCTCCACTTGCAAATTCCACAGAAATAGTTTTTCAAAACTGCTCTGTGTAAAGGAAGGTTCAGCTCTGTGACTTGAATACACACAACACAAAGAAGTGACTGAGAATTCTTCTGTCTAGCATTATATGAAGAAATCCCGTTTCGAACGAAGGCCTCAAAGAAGTCCAAATAAGCACCTGCAGACTTTACAAACAGAGTGTTTCCAAACTGCTCTATGAAAAGAAAGGTTAAACTCTGTGAGCTGAACGCACACATCACAAAGTAGTTGTTGAGAATGATTCTGTGTAGTTTTTATACGAAGATATTTCCTTTTCTGCCATAGGCCTAGAAGCGCTTGCAATCTGCACTTGCAAATTCCAAAAACAGAGTGTTTCAAATCTGCTCTCTCCAAAGGAAGGTTCAAATCTGTGAGTTGAATACAAACAACACAAAGAAGTTACTGAGAATTCTTCTGTCTAGCATTATATGAGGAAATCCCGTTTCCAACGAAGGGCTCATAGAGGGACAATTATCCACCTGCAGAATTACAAAGAGTGTATTTCCAAACTGCTCGATTAAAGAAAGGTTAAACTCTGTGAGTTGAACACACACATCACAAAGTGTTTTCTGAGAATGATTTTGTCTAGTTTTAATACGAAGATATATCCTTTTCTATCACTGTCTTCGAAGCGTTTGAAATCTGCACTAGCAAATTCCACAAACAGAGTGTTTCAACTCTGCTCTCTCTCAAGAAAGGTTCAACTCTGTGAGTGGAATACACACAACACAAAGAAGTTACTGAGAATTCTTCTGTCTAGCGTTATATGAAGAAATCCCTTTTCCAAAGATGGCCTCAAAGAGGTCCAAATATCCACTTGCAGACTTTACAAATAGAGTGTTTCCGAACTGCTCTATGAAAAGAAAGGTTAAACTCTGTGAGTTGAAGGCACACATCACAAACTAGTTTCTACGAATGATTCTGTGTACTTTTAATATGAAGATATTTCCATGTCTAAGATTGGCGTCAAATCGCTTGAAATCTCCACTTGCAAATTCCACAAAAAGAGTGTTTCAAAAGTGCTCTGAATAAAGGAAGGTTCCACTCTGTGAGTTGAATACACACAACACAAAGGATTTACTGAGAATTCTTCTGTCTAGCAGTAAATGAGAAATCCCGCTTCCAACGAAGTCCTCAAAGGGGTCTAACTAATCACTTGCAGACTTTACAGACAGAGTCTTTCCAAACTGCTCTATGAAGAGAAAGGTGAAACTCTGTGAACTGAACGCACAGATAACAAAGCAGTTTCTGAGAATGATTCTGTGTAGTTTTTACACGAAGATATTTCCATTTCAAAGATTAGCCTCAAATCGCTTAAAATCTCCAATTGCAAATTCCACAGAAAGAATTTTTCAAAACTGCTCTGTCTAAAAGAAGTTTCACCTCTGTGACTTCAATACACACAACACAAAGAAGTGACTGAGAATTCTTCTGTCTAGCATTATATGAAGAAATCCCGTTTCCAACGAAGGCCTCAAAGAAGTCCAAAGAAGCACCTGCAGACTTTACAAACAGAGTGTTTCCAAACTGCTCTATGAAAAGAAAGGTTAAACTCTGTGAGTTGAACGCACACATCACAAAGTAGTTGTTGAGAATGATTCTGTGTAGTTTTTATACGAAGATATTTCCTTTTCTGCCATAGGCCTAGAAGCGCTTGCAATCTGCACTTGCAAATTCCAAAAACAGAGTGTTTCAAATCTGCTCTCTCCAAAGGAAGGTTCAAATCTGTGAGTTGAATACAAACAACACAAAGAAGTTACTGAGAATTCTTCTGTCTAGCGTTATATGAAGAAATCCCGTTTCCAACGAAGGCCTCAAAGAGGTCCAAATATCCACTTGCAGACTTTACAAATAGAGTGTTTCCAAACTGCTCTATGAAAAGAAAGGTTAAACTCCGTGAGTTGAAGGCACACATCTCAAACTAGTTTCTGCGAATGACTCTGTGTACTTTTAATACGAAGATGTTTCCATGTCTAAGATTGGCGTGAATTCGCTTGAAATCTCCACTTGCAAATTCCACAAAAAGAGTGTTTCAAAAGTGCTCTGAATAAAGGAAGGTTCCACTCTGTGAGTTGAATACACACAACACAAAGGATTTACTGAGAATTCTTCTGTCTAGCAGTAAATGAAAAAATCCCGCTTCCAACGAAGTCCTCAAAGGGGTCCAAGTAATCACTTGCAGACTTTACAGACAGAGTCTTTCCAAACTGCTCTATGAAAAGAAAGGTGGAACTCTGTGAGCTGAACGCACACATAACAAAGCAGTTTCTGAGAATGATTCTGTGTAGTTTTTACACGAAGATATTTCCATTTCAAAGATTAGCCTCAAATCGCTTGAAATCTCCACTTGCAAACTCCACAGAAAGAATTTTTCAAAACTGCTCTGTCTAAAGGAAGGTTCAACTCTGTGACTTGAATACACACAACACAAAGAAGTGACTGAGAATTCTTCTGTCTAGCATTATAAGAGGAAATCACGTTTCCAACGAAGGGCTCATAGAGGGACAATTATCCAGCTGCAGACTTACAAAGAGTGTATTTCCAAACTGCTCGATTAAAGAAAGGTTAAACTCTGTGAGTTGAACGCACACATCACAAAGTGTTTTCTGAGAATGATTTTGTCTAGTTTTAATACGAAGATATATCCTTTTCTATCACTGTCTTCGAAGCGTTTGAAATCTGCACTAGCAAATTCCACAAACAGAGTGTTTCAACTCTGCTCTCTCTCAAGAAAGGTTCAACTCTGTGAGTGGAATACACACAACACAAAGAAGTTACTGAGAATTCTTCTGTCTAGCGTTGTATGAAGAAATCCCGTTTCCAACGAAGGCCTCAAAGAGGTCCAAATATCCACTTGCAGACTTTACAAATAGAGTGTTTCCAAACTGCTCTATGAAAAGAAAGGTTAAACTCTGTGAGTTGAAGGCACACATCACAAACTAGTTTCTACGAATGACTCTGTGTACTTTTAATACGAAGATGTTTCCATGTCTAAGATTGGCGTGAATTCGCTTGAAATCTCCACTTGCAAATTCCACAAAAAGAGTGTTTCAAAACTGCTCTGAATAAAGGAAGGTTCCACTCTGTGAGTTGAATACACACAACACAAAGGATTTACTGAGAATTCTTCTGTCTAGCAGTAAATGAGAAATCCCGCTTCCAACGAAGGCCTCAAAGGGGTCTAACTAATCACTTGCAGACTTTACAGACAGAGTCTTTCCAAACTGCTCTATGAAGAGAAAGGTGAAACTCTGTGAACTGAACGCACAGATGACAAAGCAGTTTCTGAGAATGATTCTGTGTAGTTTTTACACGAAGATATTTCCATTTCAAAGATTAGCCTCAAATCGCTTGAAATCTCCACTTGCAAATTACACAGAAAGAATTTTTCAAAACTGCTCTGTCTAAAGGAAGGTTCAACTCTGTGACTTGAATACACACAACACAAAGAAGTGACTGAGAATTCTTCTGTCTAGCATTATATGAAGAAATCCCGTTTCCAACGAAGGCCTCAATGAAGTCCAAAAAAGCACTTGCAGGCTTTACAAACAGAGTGTTTCCAAACTGCTCTATGAAAAGAAAGGTTAAACTCTGTGAGTTGAACGCACACATCACAAAGTAGTTGTTGAGAATGATTCTGTGTAGTTTTTATACGAAGATATTTCCTTTTCTGCCATAGGCCTAGCAGCGCTTGAAATCTGCACTTGCAAATTCCAAAAACAGAGTGTTTCAACTCTGCTCTCTCTAAAGAAAGGTTCAACTCTGTGAGTTGAATACACACAACACAAAGAAGTTACTGAGAATTCTTCTGTCTAGCGTTGTATGAAGAAATCCCGTTTCCAACGAAGGCCTCAATGAAGTCCAAAAAAGCACTTGCAGGCTTTACAAACAGAGTGTTTCCAAACTGCTCTATGAAAAGAAAGGTTAAACTCTGTGAGTTGAACACACACATCACAAAGAGTTTTCTGAGAATGATTTTGTCTACTTTTAATACGAAGATATATCCTTTTCTATCACTGTCTTCGAAGCGTTTGAAATCTACACTAGCAAATTCCACAAAAAGAGTGTTTCACCTCTGCTCCCTCTAAAGAAAGGTTCAACTCTGTGAGTTGAATACACACAACACAAAGAAGTTACTGAGAATTCTTCTGTCTAGCGTTATATGAAGAAATCCCGTTTCCAACGAAGGCCTCAAAGAGGTCCAAATATCCACTTGCAGACTTTACAAATAGAGTGTTTCCCAACTGCTCTATGAAAAGAAAGGTTAAACTCTGTGAGTTGAAGGCACACATCACAAACTAGTTTCTACGAATGACTCTGTGTACTTTTAATACGAAGATGTTTCCATGTCTAAGATTGGCGTGAATTCGCTTGAAATCTCCACTTGCAATTTCCACAAAAAGAGTGTTTCAAAACTGCTCTGAATAAAGGAAGGTTCCACTCTGTGAGTTGAATACACACAACACAAAGGATTTACTGAGAATTCTTCTGTTAACAGTAAATGAGAAATCCTTCTTCCAACGAAGGCCTCAACGGGGTCTAACTAATCACTTGAAGACTTTACAGACAGATTCTTTCCAAACAGCTCTATGAAAAGAAAGGTGAAACTCTGTGAGGTGAACGCACACATAACAAAGCAGTTTCTGAGAATGATTCTGTGTAGTTTTTATACGAAGATATTTCCTTTTCTGCCATAGGCCTAGAAGCGCTTGAAATCTGCACTTGCAAATTCCAAAAACAGGGTGTTTCAAATCTGCTCTCTCTAAAGGAAGGTTCAAATCTGTGAGTTGAATACAAACAACACAAAGAAGTTACTGAGAATTCTTCTGTCTAGCATTATATGAGGAAATCCCGTTTCCAACGAAGGGCTCAAAGAGGGCCAATTATCCACCTGCAGACTTACAAAGAGTGTATTTCCAAACTGCTCGATTAAAGAAAGGTTAAACTCTGTGAGTTGAACACACACATCACAAAGAGTTTTCTGAGAATGATTTTGTCTAGTTTTAATACGAAGATATATCCTTTTCTATCACTGTCTTCGAAGCGTTGGAAATCTGCACTAGCAAATTCCACAAGAAGAGTGTTTCAACTCTGCTCTCTCTAAAGAAAGGTTCAACTCGGTGAGTTGAATACACACAACACAAAGAAGTTACTGAGAATTCTTCTGTCTAGCGTTATATGAAGAAATCCCGTTTCCAACGAAGGCCTCAAAGAGGTCCAAATATCCACTTGCAGACTTTACAAATAGAGTGTTTCCCAACTGCTCTATGAAAAGAAAGGTTAAACTCTGTGAGTTGAAGGCACACATCACAAACTAGTTTCTACGAATGACTCTGTGTACTTTTAATATGAAGATATTTCCATGTCTAAGATTGGCGTCAAATCGCTTGAAATCTCCACTTGCAAATTCCACAAAAAGAGTGTTTCAAAACTGCTCTGAATAAAGGAAGGTTCCACTCTGTGAGTTGAATACACACAACACAAAGGATTTACTGAGAATTCTTCTGTCTAGCAGTAAATGAAAAAATCCCGCTTCCAACGAAGTCCTCAAAGGGGTCCAAGTAATCACTTGCAGACTTTACAGACAGAGTCTTTCCAAACTGCTCTATGAAAAGAAAGGTGGAACTCTGTGAGCTGAACGCACACATAACAAAGCAGTTTCTGAGAATGATTCTGTGTAGTTTTTACACGAAGATATTTCCATTTCAAAGATTAGCCTCAAATCGCTTGAAATCTCCACTTGCAAATTCCACAGAAAGAGTTTTTCAAAACTGCTCTGTGTAAAGGAAGGTTCAACTCTGTGACTTGAATACACACAACACAAAGAAGTGACTGAGAATTCTTCTGTCTAGCATTATATGAAGAAATCCCGTTTCCAACGAAGGCCTCAATGAAGTCCAAAAAAGCACTTGCAGGGTTTACAAACAGAGTGTTTCCAAACTTCTCTATGAAAAGAAAGGTTAAACTTTGTGAGTTGAACGCACACATCACAAAGTAGCTGTTGAGAATGATTCTGTGTAGTTTTTATACGAAGATATTTCCTTTTCTGCCATAGGCCTAGAATCGCTTGAAATCTGCACTTGCAAATTCCAAAAACAGAGTGTTTCAACTCTACTCTCTCTAAAGAAAGGTTCAACTCTGTGAGTTGAATACACACAACACAAAGAAGTTACTGAGAATTCTTCTGTCTAGTGTTGTATGAAGAAATCCCATTTCCAACGAAGGCCTCAAAGAGGTCCAAATATCCACTTGCAGACTTTACAAATAGAGTGTTTCCCAACTGCTCTATGAAAAGAAAGGTTAAACTCTGTGAGTTGAAGGCACACATCACAAACTAGTTTCTACGAATGACTTCTGTGTACTTTTAATATGAAGATATTTCCATGTCTAAGATTGGCGTCAAATCGCTTGAAATCTCCACTTGCAAATTCCACAAAAAGAGTGTTTCAAAACTGCTCTGAATAAAGGAAGGTTCCACTCTGTGAGTTGAATACACACAACACAAAGGATTTACTGAGAATTCTTCTGTCTAGCATTATATGAAGAAATCCCCTTTCCAACGAAGGCCTCAATGAAGTCCAAAAAAACAATTGCAGGCTTTACAAACAGAGTGTTTCCAAACTGCTCTATGAAAAGAAAGGTTAAACTTTGTGAGTTGAACGCACACATCACAAAGTAGTTGTTGAGAATGATTCTGTGTAGTTTTTATACGAAGATATTTCCTTTTCTGCCATAGGCCTAGAATCGCTTGAAATCTGCACTTGCAAATTCCAAAAACAGAGTGTTTCAACTCTGCTCTCTCTAAAGAAAGGTTCAACTCTGTGAGTTGAATACACACAACACAAAGAAGTTACTGAGAATTCTTCTGTCTAGTGTTGTATGAAGAAATCCCATTTCCAACGAAGGCCTCAAAGAGGTCCAAATATCCACTTGCAGACTTTACAAATAGTGTTTCCAAACTGCTCTATGAAAAGAAAGGTTAAACTCTGTGAGTTGAAGGCACACATCACAAACTAGTTTCTACGAATGACTCTGTGTACTTTTAATACGAAGATGTTTCCATGTCTAAGATTGGCGTGAATTCGCTTGAAATCTCCACTTGCAAATTCCACAAAAAGAGTGTTTCAAAACTGCTCTGAATAAAGGAAGGTTCCACTCTGTGAGTTGAATACACACAACACAAAGGATTTACTGAGAATTCTTTCTGTCTAGCAGTAAATGAAAAAATCCCGCTTCCAACGAAGTCCTCAAAGGGGTCCAAGTAATCACTTGCAGACTTTACAGACAGAGTCTTTCCAAACTGCTCTATGAAAAGAAAGGTGGAACTCTGTGAGCTGAACGCACACATAACAAAGCAGTTTCTGAGAATGATTCTGTGTAGTTTTTACACGAAGATATTTCCATTTCAAAGATTAGCCTCAACTCGCTTGAAATCTCCACTTGCAAATTCCACAGAAAGAATTTTTCAAAACTGCTCTGTCTAAAGGAAGGTACAACTCTGTGACTTGAATACACACAACACAAAGATGTGACTGAGAATTCTTCTGTCTAGCATTATGTGAAGAAATCCCGTTTCCAACGAAGGCCTCAAAGAGGTCCAAATATCCACTTGCAGACTTTACAAATAGAGTGTTTCCAAACTGCTCTATGAAAAGAAAGATTAAACTCTGTGAGTTGAAGGCACACATCACAAGCTAGTTTTTGCCAATGACTCTGTGTAGTTTTTATACGAAGATATTTCCTTTTCTGCCATAGGCCCAGAAGCGCTTGAAATCTGCACTTGCAAATTCCAAAAACAGAGTGTTTCAAATCTGCTCTCTCTAAAGGAAGGTTCAAATCTGTGAGTTGAATACAAACAACACAAAGAAGTTACTGAGAATTCTTCTGTCTAGCATTATATGAGGAAATCCCGTTTCCAACGAAGGGCTCAAAGAGGGCCAATTATCCACCTGCAGACTTACAAAGAGTGTATTTCCAAACTGCTCGATTAAGAAAAGTTAAACTCTGTGAGTTGAACACACACATCACAAAGTGATTTCTGAGAATGATTTTGTCTACTTTTAATACGAAGATATATCCTTTTCTATCACGGTCTTCGAAGCGTTTGAAATCTGCACTAGCAAATTCCACAAAAAGAGTGTTTCAACTCTGCTCTCTCTAAAGAAAGGTTCAACTCTGTGAGTTGAATACACACAACACAAAGAAGTTACTGAGAATTCTTCTGTCTAGCGTTATATGAAGAAATCCCGTTTCCAACGAAGGCCTCAAAGAGGTCCAAATATCCACTTGCAGACTGTACAAATAGAGTGTTTCCGAACTGCTCTATGAAAAGAAAGGTTAAACTCCGTGATTTGAAGGCACACATCACAAACTAGTTTCTACGAATGACTCTGTGTAGTTTTTACACGAAGATATTTCCATTTCAAAGATTAGCCTCAAATCGCTTGACATCTCCACTTGCAAATTCCACAGAAAGAGTTTTTCAAAACTGCTCTGTGTAAAGGAAGGTTCAACTCTGTGACTTGAATACACACAACACAAAGAAGTGACTGAGAATTCTTCTGTCTAGCATTATATGAAGAAATCCCGTTTCCAACGAAGGCCTCAAAGAAGTCCAAATAAGCACCTGCAGACTTTACAAACAGAGTGTTTCCAAACTGCTCTATGAAAAGAAAGGTTAAACTCTGTGAGCTGAACGCACACATCACAAAGTAGTTGTTGAGAATGATTCTGTGTAGTTTTTATACGAAGATATTTCCTTTTCTGCCATAGGCCTAGAATCGCTTGAAATCTGCACTTGCAAATTCCAAAAACAGAGTGTTTCAACTCTGCTCTCTCTAAAGAAAGGTTCAACTCTGTGAGTTGAATACACACAACACAAAGAAGTTACTGAGAATTCTTCTGTCTAGCGTTATATGAAGAAATCCCGTTTCCAAGGAAGGCCTCAAAGAGGTCCAAATATCCACTTGCAGACTTTACAAATAGAGTGTTTCCAAACTGCTGTATGAAAAGAAAGGTTAAACTCTGTGAGTTGAAGGCACACATCACAAACCAGTTTCTGCGAATGACTCTGTGTAGTTTTAATACGAAGATATTTCCATGTCTAAGATTGACGTCAAATCGCTTGAAATCTCCACTGGCAAATTCCACAAAGAGTGTTTCCAAACTGCTCTGAATAAAGGAAGGTTCAACTCTGTGAGTTGAATACACACAACACAAAGGATTTACTGAGAATTCTTCTGTCTAGCAGTAAGTGAAAAAATCCCACTTCCAACGAAGTCCTCAAAGGGGTCCAAGTATTCACTTGCAGACTTTACAGACAGAGTCTTTCCAAACTGCTGTTTGAAAAGAAAGGTGAAACTCTGTGAGTTGAACGCACACATAACAAAGCAGTTTCTGTGAATGATTCTGTGTAGTTTTTACACGAAGATATTTCCATTTCAAAGATTGGCTTCAAATCGCATGAAATCACCACTTGCAAAATCCACAGAAAGAGTTTTTCAAAACTGCTCTGTCTAAAGGAAGGTTCAACTCTGTGACTTGAATACACACAACACAAAGAAGTGACTGAGAATTCTTCTGTCTAGCATTATAAGAGGAAATCCTGTTTCCAACGAAGGGCTCATAGAGGGACAATTATCCAGCTGCAGACTTACAAAGAGTGTATTTCCAAACTGCTCGATTAAAGAAAGGTTAAACTCTGTGAGTTGAACACACACATCACAAAGTGTTTTCTGAGAATGATTTTGTCTAGTTTTAATACGAAGATATATCCTTTTCTATCACTGTCTTCGAAGCGTTTGAAATCTGCACTAGCAAATTCCACAAACAGAGTGTTTCAACTCTGCTCTCTCTCAAGAAAGGTTCAACTCTGTGAGTTGAATACACACAACACAAAGAAGTTACTGAGAATTCTTCTGTCTAGCGTTATATGAAGAAATCCCGTTTCCAACGAAGGCCTCAAAGAGGTCCAAATATCCACTTGCAGACTTTACAAATAGAGTGTTTCCAAACTGCTCTATGAAAAGAAAGGTTAAACTCCGTGAGTTGAAGGCACACATCACAAACTAGTTTCTGCGAATGACTTCTGTGTACTTTTAATACGAAGATGTTTCCATGTCTAAGATTGGCGTGAATTCGCTTGAAATCTCCACTTGCAAATTCCACAAAAAGAGTGTTTCAAAACTGCTCTGAATAAAGGAAGGTTCCACTCTGTGAGTTGAATACACACAACACAAAGGATTTACTGAGAATTCTTCTGTCTAGCAGTAAATGAAAAAATCCCGCTTCCAACGAAGTCCTCAAAGGGGTCCAAGTAATCACTTGCAGACTTTACAGACAGAGTCTTTCCAAACTGCTCTATGAAAAGAAAGGTGGAACTCTGTGAGCTGAACGCACACATAACAAAGCAGTTTCTGAGAATGATTCTGTGTAGTTTTTACACGAAGATATTTCCATTTCAAAGATTAGCCTCAAATCGCTTGAAATCTCCACTTGCAAATTCCACAGAAAGAGTTTTTCAAAACTGCTCTGTGTAAAGGAAGGTTCAACTCTGTGACTTGAATACACACAACACAAAGAAGTGACTGAGAATTCTTCTGTCTAGCATTATATGAAGAAATCCCGTTTCGAACGAAGGCCTCAAAGAAGTCCAAATAAGCACCTGCAGACTTTACAAACAGAGTGTTTCCAAACTGCTCTATGAAAAGAAAGGTTAAACTCTGTGAGCTGAACGCACACATCACAAAGTAGTTGTTGAGAATGATTTTGTCTAGTTTTAATACGAAGATATATCCTTTTCTATCACTGTCTTCGAAGCGTTTCAAATCGGCACTAGCAAATTCCACAAACAGAGTGTTTCAACTCTGCTCTCTCTCAAGAAAGGTTCAACTCTGTGAGTGGAATACACACAACACAAAGAAGTTACTGAGAATTCTTCTGTCTAGCGTTATATGAAGAAATCCCGTTTCCAACGAAGGCCTCAAAGAGGTCCAAATATCCACTTACAGACTTTACAAATAGAGTGTTTCCAAACTGCTCTATGAAAAGAAAGGTTAAACTCCGTGAGTTGAAGGCACACATCACAAACTAGTTTCTGCGAATGACTCTGTGTACTTTTAATACGAAGATGTTTCCATGTCTAAGATTGGCGTGAATTCGCTTGAAATCTCCACTTGCAAATTCCACAAAAAGAGTGTTTCAAAAGTGCTCTGAATAAAGGAAGGTTCCACTCTGTGAGTTGAATACACACAACACAAAGGATTTACTGAGAATTCTTCTGTCTAGCAGTAAATGAAAAATTCCCGCTTCCAACGAAGTCCTCAAAGGGGTCCAAGTAATCACTTGCAGACTTTACAGACAGAGTCTTTCCAAACTGCTCTATGAAAAGAAAGGTGGAACTCTGTGAGCTGAACGCACACATAACAAAGCAGTTTCTGAGAATGATTTCTGTGTAGTTTTTACACGAAGATATTTCCATTTCAAAGTATTAGCCTCAAATCGCTTGAAATCTCCACTTGCAAATTACACAGAAAGAACTTTTCAAAACTGCTCTGTCTAAAGGAAGGTTCAACTCTGTGACTTGAATACACACAACACAAAGAAGTGACTGAGAATTCTTCTGTCTAGCACTATATGAGGAAATCCCGTTTCCAAAGAAGGTCTCAAAGAGGGACAATTATCCACTTGCAGACTTTACAAAGAGGGTATTTCCAAACTGCTCGATTAAAGAAAGGTTAAACTCTGTGAGTTGAACACACACATCACAAAGTGTTTTCTGAGAATGATTCTGTGTAGTTTTTATACGAAGATATTTCCTTTTCTGCCATAGGCCTAGAATGGCTTGAAATCTGCAGTTGCAAATTCCAAAAACAGAGTGTTTCAACTCTGCTCTCTCTAAAGAAAGGTTCAACTCTGTGAGTTGAATACACACAACACAAAGAAGTTACTGAGAATTCTTCTGTCTAGCGTTGTATGAAGAAATCCCGTTTCCAACGAAGGCCTCAAAGAGGTCCAAATATCCACTTGCAGACTTTACAAACAGAGTGTTTCCGAACTGCTCTATGAAAAGAAAAGTTAAACTCTGTGAGTTGAAGGCACACATCACAAACTAGTTTCTACGAATGACTCTGTGTACTTTTAATACGAAGATGTTTCCATGTCTAAGATTGGCGTGAATTCGCTTGAAATCTCCACTTGCAAATTCCACAAAAAGAGTGTTTCAAAACTGCTCTGAATAAAGGAAGGTTCCACTCTGTGAGTTGAATACACACAACACAAAGGATTTACTGAGAATTCTTCTGTCTAGCAGTAAATGAAAAAATCCCGCTTCCAACGAAGTCCTCAAAGGGGTCCAAGTAATCACTTGCAGACTTTACAGACAGAGTCTTTCCAAACTGCTCTATGAAAAGAAAGGTGGAACTCTGTGAGCTGAACGCACACATAACAAAGCAGTTTCTGAGAATGATTCTGTGTAGTTTTTACACGAAGATATTTCCATTTCAAAGATTAGCCTCAAATCGCTTGAAATCTCCACTTGCAAATTCCACAGGAAGAGTTTTTCAAAACTGCTCTGTGTAAAGGAAGGTTCAACTCTGTGACTTGAATACACACAACACAAAGAAGTGACTGAGAATTCTTCTGTCTAGCATTATATGAAGAAATCCCGTTTCCAACGAAGGCCTCAAAGAAGTCCAAATAAGCACCTGAACTTTACAAACAGAGTGTTTCCAAACTGCTCTATGAAAAGAAAGGTTAAACTCTGTGAGTTGAACGCACACATCACAAAGTAGTTGGTGAGAATGATTCTGTGTAGTTTTTATACGAAGATATTTCCTTTTCTGCCATAGGCCTAGAAGCGCTTGTAATCTGCACTTGCAAATTCCAAAAACAGAGTGTTTCAAATCTGCTCTCTCCAAAGGAAGGTTCAAATCTGTGAGTTGAATACAAACAACACAAAGAAGTTACTGAGAATTCTTCTGTCTAGCGTTGTATGAAGAAATCCCGTTTCCAACGAAGGCCTCAATGTAGTCCAAAAAAGCACTTGCAGGCTTTACAAACAGAGTGTTTCCAAACTGCTCTATGAAAAGAAAGGTTAAACTCTGTGAGTTGAAGGCACACATCACAAACTAGTTTCTACGAATGACTCTGTGTACTTTTAATATGAAGATATTTCCATGTCTAAGATTGCCGTCAAATCGGTTGAAATCTCCATTTGCAAATTCCACAAAAAGTGTTTTTCAAAACTGCTCTGAATAAAGGAAGGTTCCACTCTGTGAGTTGAATACACACAACACAAAGGATTTACTGAGAATTCTTCTGTCTAGCAGTAAATGAGAAATCCCGCTTCCAACGAAGGCCTCAAAGGGGTCTAACTAATCACTTGCAGACTTTACAGACAGAGTCTTTCCAAACTGCTCTATGAAGAGAAAGGTGAAACTCTGTGAACTGAACGCACAGATGACAAAGCAGTTTCTGAGAATGCTTCTGTGTAGTTTTTACACGAAGCTATTTCCATTTCAAAGATTAGCCTCAAATCGCTTGAAATCTCCACTTGCAAATTCCACAGAAAGAGTTTTTCAAAACTGCTCTGTGTAAAGGAAGGTTCAACTCTGTGACTTGAATACACAAAACACAAAGAAGTGACTGAGAATTCTTCTGTCTAGCATTATATGAGGAAATCCCGTTTCCAACGAAGGGCTCATAGAGGGACAATTATCCAGCTGCAGACTTACAAAGAGTGTATTTCCAAACTGCTCGATTAAAGAAAGGTTAAACTCCTGTGAGTTGAACACACACATCACAAAGTGTTTTCTGAGAATGATTCTGTGTAGTTTTTATACGAAGATATTTCCTTTTCTACCATAGGCCTAGAATCGCTTGAAATCTGCACTTGCAAATTCCAAAAACAGAGTGTTTCAACTCTGCTCTCTCTAAAGAAAGGTTCAACTCTGTGAGTTGAATACACACAACACAAAGAAGTTACTGAGAATTCTTCTGTCTAGCGTTATATGAAGCAATCCCGTTTCCAACGAAGGCCTCAAAGAGGTCCAAATATCCACTTGCAGACTTTACAAATAGAGTGTTTCCCAACTGCTCTATGAAAAGAAAGGTTAAACTCTGTGAGTTGAAGGCACACATCACAAACTAGTTTCTACGAATGACTCTGTGTACTTTTAATACGAAGATGTTTCCATGTCTAAGATTGGCGTGAATTCGCTTGAAATCTCCACTTGCAAATTCCACAAAAAGAGTGTTTCAAAACTGCTCTGAATAAAGGAAGGTTCCACTCTGTGAGTTGAATACACACAACACAAAGGATTTACTGAGAATTCTTCTTTCTAGCAGTAAATGAAAAAATCCCGCTTCCAACGAAGTCCTCAAAGGGGTCCAAGTAATCACTTGCAGACTTTACAGACAGAGTCTTTCCAAACTGCTCTATGAAAAGAAAGATGGAACTCTGTGAGCTGAACGCACACATAACAAAGCAGTTTCTGAGAATGATTCTGTGTAGTTTTTACACGAAGATATTTCCATTTCAAAGATTAGCCTCAAATTGCTTGAAATCTCCACTTGCAAATTCCACAGAAAGAGTTTTTCAAAACTGCTCTGTGTAAAGGAAGGTTCAACTCTGTGACTTGAATACACACAACACAAAGAAGTGACTGAGAATTCTTCTGTCTAGCATTATATGAAGAAATCCCGTTTCCAACGAAGGCCTCAAAGAAGTCCAAATAAGCACCTGCAGACTTTACAAACAGAGTGTTTCCAAACTGCTCTATGAAAAGAAAGGTTAAACTCTGTGAGTTGAACGCACACATCACAAAGTAGTTGTTGAGAATGATTCTGTGTAGTTTTTATACGAAGATATTTCCTTTTCTGCCATAGGCCTAGAATGGCTTGAAATCTGCACTTGCAAATTCCAAAAACAGAGTGTTTCAACTCTGCTCTCTCTAAAGAAAGGTTCAACTCTGTGAGTTGAATACACACAACACAAAGAAGTTACTGAGAATTCTTCTGTCTAGCGTTGTATGAAGAAATCCCGTTTCCAACGAAGGCCTCAAAGAGGTCCAAATATCCACTTGCAGACTTTACAAATAGAGTGTTTCCAAACTGCTCTATGAAAAGAAAGGTTAAACTCTGTGAGTTGAAGGCACACATCACAAACTAGTTTCTACGAATGACTCTGTGTACTTTTAATATGAAGATATTTCCATGTCTAAGATTGGCGTCAAATCGCTTGAAATCTCCACTTGCAAATTCCACAAAAAGTGTTTTTCAAAACTGCTCTGAATAAAGGAAGGTTCCACTCTGTGAGTTGAATACACACAACACAAAGGATTTACTGAGAATTCTTCTGTCTAGCAGTAAATGAGAAATCCCGCTTCCAACGAAGGCCTCAATGGGGTCTAACTAATCACTTGCAGACTTTACAGAGTCTTTCCAAACTGCTCTATGAAGAGAAAGGTGAAACTCTGTGAACTGAACGCACAGATAACAAAGCAGTTTCTGAGAATGATTCTGTGTAGTTTTTCCACGAAGATATTTCCTTTTCAAAGATTAGCCTCAAATCGCTTAAAATCTCCAATTGCAAATTCCACAGAAAGAATTTTTCAAAACTGCTCTGTCTAAAGGAAGGTTCACCTCTGTGACTTGAATACACACAACACAAAGAACTGACTGAGAATTCTTCTGTCTAGCATTATATGAAGAAATCCCGTTTCCAACGAAGGCCTCAATGAAGTCCAAAAAAGCACTTGCAGGCTTTACAAACAGAGTGTTTCCAAACTGCTCTAAGAAAAGAAAGGTTAAACTCTGTGAGTTGAACGCACACATCACAAAGTAGTTGTTGAGAATGATTTTGTCTAGTTTTAATACGAAGATATATCCTTTTCTATCACTGTCTTCGAAGCGTTTGAAATCTGCACTAGCAAATTCCACAAAAAGAGTGTTTCACCTCTGCTCTCTCTAAAGAAAGGTTCAACTCTGTGAGTTGAATACACACAACACAAAGAAGTTACTGAGAATTCTTCTGTCTAGCGTTATATGAAGAAATCCCGTTTCCAACGAAGGCCTCAAAGAGGTCCAAATATCCACTTGCAGACTTTACAAATAGAGTGTTTCCAAACTGCTCTATAAAAAGAAAGGTTAAACTCCGTGAGTTGAAGGCACACATCACAAACTAGTTTCTGCGAATGACTCTGTGTACTTTTAATACGAAGATGTTTCCATGTCTAAGATTGGCGTGAATTCGCTTGAAATCTCCACTTGCAAATTCCACAAAAAGAGTGTTTCAAAACTGCTCTGAATAAAGGAAGGTTCCACTCTGTGAGTTGAATACACACAACACAAAGGATTTACTGAGAATTCTTCTGTCTAGCAGTAAATGAAAAAATCCCGCTTCCAACGAAGTCCTCAAAGGGGTCCAAGTAATCACTTGCAGACTTTACAGACAGAGTCTTTCCAAACTGCTCTATGAAAAGAAAAGGTGGAACTCTGTGAGCTGAACGCACACATAACAAAGCAGTTTCTGAGAATGATTCTGTGTAGTTTTTACACGAAGATATTTCCATTTCAAAGATTAGCCTCAAATCGCTTGAAATCTCCACTTGTAAATTCCACAGAAAGAATTTTTCAAAACTGCTCTGTCTAAAGGAAGTTTCAACTCTGTGACTTGATTAAACACAACAGAAAGAAGTTACTGAGAATTCTTCTGTCTAGCATTATGTGAAGAAATCCCTTTTCCAACGAAGGCCTCAATGAAGTCCAAAAAAGCACTTGTAGGCTTTACAAACAGAGTGTTTCCAAACTGCTCTATGAAAAGAAAAGTTAAACTCTGTGAGTTGAACCCACACATCACAAAGTAGTTGTTGAGAATGAGTTTGTCTAGTTTTAATACGAAGATATATCCTTTTCTATCACTGTCTTCGAAGCGTTTGAAATCTGCACTAGCAAATTCCACAGAAAGAGTGTTTCAACTCTGCTCTCTCTCAAGAAAGGTTCAACTCTGTGAGTGGAATACACACAACACAAAGAAGTTACAGAGAATTCTTCTGTCTAACGTTATATGAAGAAATCCCGTTTCCAACGAAGGCCTCAAAGAGGTCCAAATATCCACTTGCAGACTTTACAAATAGAGTTTTTCCCAACTGCTCTATGAAAAGAAAGGTTAAACTCTGTGAGTTGAAGGCACACATCACAAACTAGTTTCTACGAATGACTCTGTGTACTTTTAATACGAAGATGTTTCCATGTCTAAGATTGGCGTGAATTCGCTTGAAATCTCCACCTGCAAATTCCACAAAAAGAATGTTTCAAAACAGCTCTGAATAGAGGAAGGTTCCACTCTGTGAGTTGAATACACACAACACAAAGGATTTACTGAGAATTCTTCTGTCTAGCAGTAAATGAAAAAATCCCGCTTCCAACGAAGTCCTCAAAGGGGTCCAAGTAATCACTTGCAGACTTTACAGACAGAGTCTTTCCAAACTGCTCTATGAAAAGAAAGGTGGAACTCTGTGAGCTGAACGCACACATAACAAAGCAGTTTCTGAGAATGATTCTGTGTAGTTTTTACACGAAGCTATTTCCATTTCAAAGATTAGCCTCAAATCGCTTGAAATCTCCACTTGCAAATTCCACAGAAAGAGTTTTTCAAAACTGCTCTGTGTAAAGGAAGGTTCAACTCTGTGACTTGAATACACACAACACAAAGAAGTGACTGAGAATTCTTCTGTCTAGCATTACATGAAGAAATCCCGTTTCCAACGAAGGCCTCAAAGAAGTCCAAATAAGCACCTGCAGACTTTACAAACAGAGTGTTTCCAAACTGCTCTATGAAAAGAAAGGTTAAACTCTGTGAGTTGAACGCACACATCACAAAGTAGTTGTTGAGAATGATTCTGTGTAGTTTTTATACGAAGATATTTCCTTTTCTGCCATAGGCCTAGAATCGCTTGAAATCTGCACTTGCAAATTCCAAACACAGAGTGTTTCAACTCTGCTCTCTCTAAAGAAAGGTTCAACTCTGTGAGTTGAATACACACAACACAAAGAAGTTACTGAGAATTCTTCTGTCTAGCGTTGTATGAAGAAATCCCGTTTCCAACGAAGGCCTCAAAGAGGTCCAAATATCCACTTGCAGACTCTACAAACAGAGTGTTTCCCAACTGCTCTATGAAAAGAAAGGTTAAACTCTGTGAGTTGAAGGCACACATCACAAACTAGTTTCTACGAATGACTCTGTGTACTTTTAATATGAAGATATTTCCATGTCTAAGATTGGCGTCAAATCGCTTGAAATCTCCACTTGCAAATTCCACAAAAAGTGTTTTTCAAAACTGCTCTGAATAAAGGAAGGTTCCACTCTGTGAGTTGAATACACACAACACAAAGGATTTACTGAGAATTCTTCTGTCAAGCAGTAAATGAGAAATCCCGCTTCCAACGAAGGCGTCAAAGGGGTCTAACTAATCACTTGCAGACTTTACAGACAGAGTCTTTCCAAACTGCTCTATGAAGAGAAAGGTGAAACTCTGTGAACTGAACGCACAGTATGACAAAGCAGTTTCTGAGAATGCTTCTGTGTAGTTTTTACACGAAGATATTTCCATTTCAAAGATTAGCCTCAAATCGCTTGAAATCTCCACTTGCAAATTCCACAGAAAGAGTTTTTCAAAACTGCTCTGTGTAAAGGAAGGTTCAACTCTGTGACTTGAATACACACAACACAAAGAAGTGACTGAGAATTCTTCTGTCTAGCATTATATGAAGAAATCCCGTTTCCAACGAAGGCCTCAATGAAGTCCAAAAAAGCACTTGCAGGCTTTACAAACAGAGTGTTTCCAAACTTCTCTATGAAAAGAAAGGTTAAACTTTGTGAGTTCAACGCACACATCACAGAGTAGTTGTTGAGAATGATTTTGTCTAGTTTTAATACGAAGATATATCCTTTTCTATCACTGTCTTCGAAGCGTTTGTAATCTGCACTAGCAAATTCCACAAAAAGAGTGTTTCAACTCTGCTCTCTCTCAAGAAAGGTTCAACTCTGTGAGTTGAATACACACAACACAAAGAAGTTACTGAGAATTCTTCTGTCTAGCGTTATATGAAGAAATCCCGTTTCCAACGAAGGCCTCAAAGAGGTCCAAATATCTACTTGCAGACTTTAGAAATAGAGTGTTTCTAAACTGCTCTATGAAAAGAAAGGTTAAACTCTGTGAGTTGAAGGCACACTTCACAAACTAGTTTCTAAGAATGACTCTGTGTACTTTTAATATGAAGATATTTCCACGTCTAAGATTGGCGTCATATCGCTTGAAATCTCCACTTGCAAATTCCACAAAAAGTGTTTTTCAAAACTTCTCTGAATAAAGGAAGGCTCAACTCTGTGAGTTGAATACACACAACACCAAGGATTTACTGAGAATTCTTCTGTCTAGCAGTAAATGAGAAATCCCGCTTCCAACGAAGGCCTCAAAGGGGTCTAACTAATCACTTGCAGACTTTACAGACAGAGTCTTTCCAAACTGCTCTATGAAGAGAAAGGTGAAACTCTGTGAACTGAACGCACAGATGACAAAGCAGTTTCTGAGAATGATTCTGTGTAGTTTTTACACGAAGATATTTCCATTTCAAAGATTAGCCTCAAATCGCTTGAAATCTCCACTTGCAAATTCCACAGAAAGAGTTTTTCAAAACTGCTCTGTGTAAAGGAAGGTTCAGCTCTGTGACTTGAATACACACAACACAAAGAAGTGACTGAGAATTCTTCTGTCTAGCATTATATGAAGAAATCCCGTTTCCAACGAAGGCCTCAAAGAAGTCCAAATAAGCACCTGCAGACTTTACAAACAGAGTGTTTCCAAACTGCTCTATGAAAAGAAAGGTTAAACTCTGTGAGTTGAACGCACACATCACAAAGTAGTTGGTGAGAATGATTCTGTGTAGTTTTTATACGAAGATATTTCCTTTTCTGCCATAGGCCTAGAAGCGCTTGTAATCTGCACTTGCAAATTCCAAAACCACAGTGTTTCAAATCTGCTCTCTCTAAAGGAAGGTTCAAATCTGTGAGTTGAATACAAACAACACAAAGAAGTTACTGAGAATTCTTCTGTCTAGCATTATATGAGGAAATCCCGTTTCCAACGAAAGGGCTCATAGAGGGACAATTATCCAGCTGCAGACTTACAAAGAGTGTATTTCCAAACTGCTTGATTACAGAAAGGTTAAACTCTGTGAGTTGAACACACACATCACAAAGTGTTTTCTGAGAATGATTTTGTCTAGTTTTAATACGAAGATATATCCTTTTCTATCACTGTCTTCGAAGCGTTTGAAATCTGCACTAGCAAATTCCACAGAAAGAGTGTTTCAACTCTGCTCTCTCTCAAGAAAGGTTCAACTCTGTGAGTGGAATACACACAACACAAAGAAGTTACTGAGAATTCTTCTGTCTAGCGTTATATGAAGAAATCCCGTTTCCAACGAAGGCCTCAAAGAGGTCCAAATATCCACTTGCAGACTTTACAAATAGAGTGTTTCCAAACTGCTCTATGAAAAGAAAGGTTAAACTCCGTGAGTTGAAGGCACACATCACAAACTAGTTTCTGCGAATGACTCTGTGTACTTTTAATACGAAGATGTTTCCATGTCTAAGATTGGCGTGAATTCGCTTGAAATCTCCACTTGCAAATTCCACAAAAAGAGTGTTTCAAAAGTGCTCTGAACAAAGGAAGGTTCCACTCTGTGAGTTGAATACACACAACACAAAGGATTTACTGAGAATTCTTCTGTCTAGCAGTAAATGAAAAAATCCCGCTTCCAACGAAGTCCTCAAAGGGGTCCAAGTAATCACTTGCAGACTTTACAGACAGAGTCTTTCCAAACTGCTCTATGAAAAGAAAGGTGGAACTCTGTGAGCTGAACGCACACATAACAAAGCAGTTTCTGACAATGATTCTGTGTAGTTTTTACACGAAGATATTTCCATTTCAAAGATTAGCCTCAAATCTCTTAAAATCTCCAATTGCAAATTCCACAGAAAGAATTTTTCAAAACTGCTCTGTCTAAAAGAAGGTTCAACTCTGTGACTTGAATACACACAACACAAAGAAGTGACTGAGAATTCTTCTGTCTAGCATTATATGAAGAAATCCCGTTTCCAACGAAGGCCTCAATGAAGTCCAAAAAAGCACTTGCAGGCTTTACAAACAGAGTGTTTCCAAACTGCTCTATGAAAAGAAAGGTTAAACTCTGTGAGTTGAACGCACACATCACAAAGTAGTTGTTGAGAATGATTCTGTGTAGTTTTTATACGAAGATATTTCCTTTTCTGCCATAGGCCTAGAATCGCTTGAAATCTGCACTTGCAAATTCCAAAAACAGAGTGTTTCAACTCTGCTCTCTCTAAAGAAAGGTTCAACTCTGTGAGTTGAATACACACAACACAAAGAAGTTACTGAGAATTCTTCTGTCTAGCGTTGTATGAAGAAATCCCTTTTCGAACGAAGGCCTCAAAGAGGTCCAAATATCCACTTGCAGACTTTACAAATAGAGTGTTTCCAAACTACTCTATGAAAAGAAAGGTTAAACTCTGTGAGTTGAAGGCACACATCACAAACTAGTTTCTACGAATGACTCTGTGTACTTTTAATATGAAGATATTTCCATGTCTAAGATTGGCGTCAAATCGCTTGAAATCTCCACTTGCAAATTCCACAAAAAGTGTTTTTCAAAACTGCTCTGAATAAAGGAAGGTTCCACTCTGTGAGTTGAATACACACAACACAAAGGATTTACTGAGAATTCTTCTGTCTAGCAGTAAATGAAAAAATCCCGCTTCCAACGAAGTCCTCAAAGGGGTCCAAGTAATCACTTGCAGACTTTACAGACAGAGTCTTTCCAAACTGCTCTATGAAAAGAAAGGTGGAACTCTGTGAGCTGAACGCACACATAACAAAGCAGTTTCTGAGAATGATTCTGTGTAGTTTTTACACGAAGATATTTCCATTTCAAAGATTAGCCTCAAATCGCTTGAAATCTCCACTTGCAAATTCCACAGAAAGAGTTTTTCAAAACTGCTCTGTGTAAAGGAAGGTTCAACTCTGTGACTTGAATACACACAACACAAAGAAGTGACTGAGAATTCTTCTGTCTAGCATTATAAGAGGAAATCCCGTTTCCAACGAAGGGCTCATAGAGGGACAATTATCCAGCTGCAGACTTACAAAGAGTGTATTTCCAAACTGCTCGATTAAAGAAAGGTTAAACTCTGTGAGTTGAACACACACATCACAAAGTGTTTTCTGAGAATGATTTTGTCTAGTTTTAATACGAAGATATATCCTTTTCTATCACTGTCTTCGAAGCGTTTGAAATCTGCACTAGCAAATTGCACAGAAAGAGTGTTTCAACTCTGCTCTCTCTCAGGAAAGTTTCAACTCTGTGAGTGGAATACACGCAACACAAAGAAGTTACTGAGAATTCTTCTTTCTAGCGTTATATGAAGAAATCCCGTTTCCAACGAAGGCCTCAAAGAGGTCCAAATATCCACTTGCGGACTTTACAAATAGAGTGTTTCCGAACTGCTCTATAAAAAGAAAGGTTAAACTCTGTGAGTTGAAGGCACACATCACAAATTTGTTTCTGCGAATGAGTCTGTGTTCTTTTAATACGAAGATATTTCCATGTGTAAGATTGGCGTCAAATCGCTTGAAATCTCCACTTGCAAATTCCTCAAAAAGAGCGTTTCAAAACTGCTCTGAATAAAGGAAGGTTCAACTCTGTGAATTGAATACACACAACAGAAAGGATTTACTGAGAATTCTTCTGTTAACAGTAAATGAGAAATCCTTCTTCCAACGAAGGCCTCAACGGGGTCTAACTAATCACTTGAAGACTTTACAGACAGATTCTTTCCAAACAGCTCTATGAAAAGAAAGGTGAAACTCTGTGAGGTGAACGCACACATAACAAAGCAGTTTCTGAGAATGATTCTGTGTAGTTTTTACACGAAGATATTTCCATTTCAAAGATTAGCCTCAAATCGCTTGAAATCTCCAATTGCAAATTCCACAGAAAGAGTTTTCCAAAACTGCTCTGTCTAAAGGAAGGTTCAACTCTGTGACTTGAATACCTCAACACAAAGAAGTGACTGAGAATTCTTCTGTCTAGCATTATATGAAGAAATCCCGTTTCCAACGAAGGCCTCAATGAAGTCCAAAAAAGCACTTGCAGGCTTTACAAACACAGTGTTTCCAAACTGCTCTATGAAAAGAAAGGTTAAACTCTGTGAGTTGAACGCACACATCACAAAGTAGTTGTTGAGAATGATTCTGTGTAGTTTTTATACGAAGATATTTCCTTTTCTGCCATAGGCCTAGAAGCGCTTGAAATCTGCACTTGCAAATTCCAAAAACAGAGTGTTTCAAATCTGCTCTCTCTAAAGGAAGGTTCAAATCTGTGTGTTGAATACAAACAACACAAAGAAGTTACTGAGAATTCTTCTGTCTAGCGTTATATGAAGAAATCCCGTTTCCAACGATGGCCTCAAAGAGGTCCAAATATCCACTTGCAGCCTTTACAAATAGAGTGTTTCCGAACTGCTCTATGAAAAGAAAGGTTAAACTCTGTGAGTTGAAGGCACACATCACAACATAGTTTCTACGAATGACTCTGTGTACTTTTAATATGAAGATATTTCCATGTCTAAGATTGGCGTCAAATCGCTTGAAATCTCCACTTGCAAATTCCACAAAAAGTGTTTTTCAAAAGTGCTCTGAATAAAGGAAGGTTCCACTCTGTGAGTTGAATACACACAACACAAAGGATTTACTGAGAATTCTTCTGTCTAGCAGTAAATGAAAAAATCCCGCTTCCAACGAAGTCCTCAAAGGGGTCCAAGTAATCACTTGCAGACTTTACAGACAGAGTCTTTCCAAACTGCTCTATGAAAAGAAAGGTGGAACTCTGTGAGCTGAACGCACACATAACAAAGCAGTTTCTGAGAATGATTCTGTGTAGTTTTTACACGAAGATATTTCCATTTCAAAGATTAGCCTCAAATCGCTTGAAATCTCCACTTGCAAACTCCACAGAAAGAATTTTTCAAAACTGCTCTGTCTAAAGGAAGGTTCAACTCTGTGACTTGAATACACACAACACAAAGAAGTGACTGAGAATTCTTCTGTCTAGCATTATAAGAGGAAATCCCGTTTCCAACGAAGGGCTCATAGAGGGACAATTATCCAGCTGCAGACTTACAAAGAGTGTATTTCCAAACTGCTCGATTAAAGAAAGGTTAAACTCTGTGAGTTGAACGCACACATCACAAAGTGTTTTCTGAGAATGATTTTGTCTAGTTTTAATACGAAGATATATCCTTTTCTATCACTGTCTTCGAAGCGTTTGAAATCTGCACTAGCAAATTCCACAAACAGAGTGTTTCAACTCTGCTCTCTCTCAAGAAAGGTTCAACTCTGTGAGTTGAATACACACAACACAAAGAAGTTACTGAGAATTCTTCTGTCTAGCATTATATGAGGAAATCCCGTTTCCAACGAAGGGCTCAAAGAGGGCCAAATATCCACCTGCAGACTTACAAAGAGTGTATTTCCAAACTGCTCGATTAAAGAAAGGTTAAACTCTGTGAGTTGAACACACACATCACAAAGAGTTTTCTGAGAATGATTCTGTGTACTTTTAATATGAAGATATTTCCATGTCTAAGATTGGCGTCAAATCGCTTGAAATCTCCACTTGCAAATTCCACAAAAAGAGTGTTTCAAAACTGCTCTGAATAAAGGAAGGTTCCACTCTGTGAGTTGAATACACACAACACAAAGGATTTACTGAGAATTCTTCTGTCTAGCAGTAAATGAGAAATCCCGCTTCCAACGAAGGCCTCAAAGGGGTCTAACTAATCACTTGCAGACTTTACAGACAGAGTCTTTCCAAACTGCTCTATGAAGAGAAAGATGAAACTCTGTGAACTGAACGCACAGATGACAAAGCAGTTTCTGAGAATGATTCTGTGTAGTTTTTACACGAAGATATTTCCATTTCAAAGATTAGCCTCAAATCGCTTGAAATCTCCACTTGCAAATTACACAGAAAGAATTTTTCAAAACTGCTCTGTCTAAAGGAAGGTTCAACTCTGTGACTTGAATACACACAACACAAAGAAGTGACTGAGAATTCTTCTGTCTAGCATTATATGAAGAAATCCCGTTTCCAACGAAGGCCTCAATGAAGTCCAAAAAAGCACTTGCAGGCTTTACAAACAGAGTGTTTCCAAACTGCTCTATGAAAAGAAAGGTTAAACTCTGTGAGTTGAACGCACACATCACAAAGTAGTTGTTGAGAATGATTCTGTGTAGTTTTTATACGAAGATATTTCCTTTTCTGCCATAGGCCTAGAATCGCTTGAAATCTGCAGTTGCAAATTCCAAAAACAGAGTGTTTCAACTCTGCTCTCTCTAAAGAAAGGTTCAACTCTGTGAGTTGAATACACACAGCACAAAGAAGTTACTGAGAATTCTTCTGTCTAGCGTTGTATGAAGAAATCCCGTTTCCAACGAAGGCCTCAAAGAGGTCCAAATATCCACTTGCAGACTTTACAAATAGAGTGTTTCCAAACTGCTCTATGAAAAGAAAGGTTAAACTCTGTGAGTTGAAGGCACACATCACAAACTAGTTTCTACGAATGACTCTGTGTACTTTTAATATGAAGATATTTCCATGTCTAAGATTGGCGTCAAATCGCTTGAAATCTCCACTTGCAAATTCCACAAAAAGAGTGTTTCAAAACTGCTCTGAATAAAAGAAGGTTCCACTCTGTGAGTTGAATAAACACAACACAAAGGATTTACTGAGAATTCTTCTGTCTAGCAGTAAATGAAAAAATCCCGCTTCCAACGAAGTCCTCAAAGGGGTCCAAGTAATCACTTGCAGACTTTACAGACAGAGTCTTTCCAAACTGCTCTATGAAAAGAAAGGTGGAACTCTGTGAGCTGAACGCACACATAACAAAGCAGTTTCTGAGAATGATTCTGTGTAGTTTTTACACGAAGATATTTCCATTTCAAAGATTAGCCTCAAATCGCTTGAAATCTCCACTTGCAAACTCCACAGAAAGAATTTTTCAAAACTGCTCTGTCTAAAGGAAGGTTCAACTCTGTGACTTGAATACACACAACACAAAGAAGTGACTGAGAATTCTTCTGTCTAGCATTACATGAAGAAATCCCGTTTCCAACGAAGGCCTCAAAGAAGTCCAAATAAGCACCTGCAGACTTTACAAACAGAGTGTTTCCAAACTGCTCTATGAAAAGAAAGGTTAAACTCTGTGAGTTGAACGCACACATCACAAAGTAGTTGTTGAGAATGATTCTGTGTAGTTTTTATACGAAGATATTTCCTTTTCTGCCATAGGCCTAGAAGCGCTTGTAATCTGCACTTGCAAATTCCAAAAACAGAGTGTTTCAAATCTGCTCTCTCTAAAGGAAGGTTCAAATCTGTGAGTTGAATACAAACAACACAAAGAAGTTACTGTGAATTCTTCTGTCTAGCATTATAAGAGGAAATCCCGTTTCCAACGAAGGGCTCATAGAGGGACAATTATCCAGCTGCAGACTTACAAAGAGTGTATTTCCAAACTGCTCGATTAAAGAAAGGTTAAACTCTGTGAGTTGAACACACACATCACAAAGTGTTTTCTGAGAATGATTTTGTCTAGTTTTAATACGAAGATATATCCTTTTCTATCACTGTCTTCGAAGCGTTTGAAATCTGCACTAGCAAATTCCACAAACAGAGTGTTTCAACTCTGCTCTCTCTCAAGAAAGGTTCAACTCTGTGAGTGGAATACACACAACACAAAGAAGTTACTGAGAATTCTTCTGTCTAGCGTTATATGAAGAAATCCCGTTTCCAACGAAGGCCTCAAAGAGGTCCAAATATCCACTTGCAGACTTTACAAATAGAGTGTTTCCAAACTGCTCTATGAAAAGAAAGGTTAAACTCCGTGAGTTGAAGGCACACATCACAAACTAGTTTCTGCGAATGACTCTGTGTACTTTTAATACGAAGATGTTTCCATGTCTAAGATTGGCGTGAATTCGCTTGAAATCTCCACCTGCAATTTCCACAAAAAGAGTGTTTCAAAAGTGCTCTGAATAAAGGAAGGTTCCACTCTGTGAGTTGAATACACACAACACAAAGGATTTACTGAGAATTCTTCTGTCTAGCAGTAAATGAAAAAATCCCGCTTCCAACGAACTCCTCAAAGGGGTCCAAGTAATCACTTGCAGACTTTACAGACAGAGTCTTTCCAAACTGCTCTATGAAAAGAAAGGTGGAACTCTGTGAGCTGAACGCACACATAACAAAGCAGTTTCTGAGAATGATTCTGTGTAGTTTTTACACGAAGATATTTCCATTTCAAAGATTAGCCTCAAATCGCTTGAAATCTCCAGTTGCAAATTCCACAGAAAGAGTTTTTCAAAACTGCTCTGTGTAAAGGAAGGTTCAACTCTGTGACTTGAATACACACAACACAAAGAAGTGACTGAGAATTCTTCTGTCTAGCATTATATGAAGAAATCCCGTTTCCAACGAAGGCCTCAAAGAAGTCCAAATAAGCACCTGCAGACTTTACAAACAGAGTGTTTCCAAACTGCTCTATGAAAAGAAAGGTTAAACTCTGTGAGTTGAACGCACACATCACAAAGTAGTTGTTGAGAATGATTCTGTGTAGTTTTTATACGAAGATATTTCCTTTTCTGCCATAGGCCTAGAAGCGCTTGCAATCTGCACTTGCAAATTCCAAAAACAGAGTGTTTCAAATCTGCTCTCTCCAAAGGAAGGTTCAAATCTGTGAGTTGAATACAAACAACACAAAGAAGTTACTGAGAATTCTTCTGTCTAGCATTATAAGAGGAAATCCCGTTTCCAACGAAGGGCTCATAGAGGGACAATTATCCAGCTGCAGACTTACAAGAGTGTATTTCCAAACTGCTCGATTAAAGAAAGGTTAAACTCTGTGAGTTGAACACACACATCACAAAGTGTTTTCTGAGAATGATTTTGTCTAGTTTTAATACGAAGATATATCCTTTTCTATCACTGTCTTCGAAGCGTTTGAAATCTGCACTAGCAAATTCCACAAACAGAGTGTTTCAACTCTGCTCTCTCTCAAGAAAGGTTCAACTCTGTGAGTGGAATACACACAACACAAAGAAGTTACTGAGAATTCTTCTGTGTAGCGTTATATGAAGAAATCCCGTTTCCAACGAAGGCCTCAAAGAGGTCCAAATATCCACTTGCAGACTTTACAAACAGAGTGTTCCCAAACTGCTCTATGAAAAGAAAGTTTAAACGCTGTGAGATGAAGGCACACATCACAAACAAGTTTCTACGAATGACTCCTGTGTACTTTTAATATGAAGATATTTCCATGTCTAAGATTGGCGTCAAATCGCTTGAAATCTCCACTTGCAAATTCCACAAAAAGAGTGTTTCAAAACTGCTCTGAATAAAGGAAGGTTCCACTCTGTGAGTTGAATACACACAACACAAAGGATTTACTGAGAATTCTTCTGTCTAGCAGTAAATGAAAAAATCCCGCTTCCAACGAAGTCCTCAAAGGGGTCCAAGTAATCGCTTGCACACTTCACAGACAGAGTCTTTCCAAACTGCTCTATGAAAAGAAAGGTGGAACTCTGTGAGCTGAACGCACACATAACAAAGCAGTTTCTGAGAATGATTCTGTGTAGTTTTTACACGAAGATATTTCCATTTCAAAGATTAGCCTCAAATCGCTTGAAATCTCCACTTGCAAATTCCACAGAAAGAGTTTTTCAAAACTGCTCTGTGTAAAGGAAGGTTCAACTCTGTGACTTGAATACACACAACACAAAGAAGTGACTGAGAATTCTTCTGTCTAGCATTACATGAAGAAATCCCGTTTCCAACGAAGGCCTCAATGAAGTCCAAAAAAGCACTTGCAGGCTTTACAAACAGAGTGTTTCCAAACTGCTCTATGAAAAGAAAGGTTAAACTCTGTGAGTTGAACGCACACATCACAAAGTAGTTGTTGAGAATGGTTCTGTGTTGTTTTTATACGAAGATATTTCCTTTTCTGCCATAGGCCTAGAATCGCTTGAAATCTGCAGTTGCAAATTCCAAAAACAGAGTGTTTCAACACTGCTCTCTCTAAAGAAAGGTTCAACTCTGTGAGTTGAATACACACAACACAAAGAAGTTACTGAGAATTCTTCTGTCTAGCGTTGTATGAAGAAATCCCGTTTCCAACGAAGGCCTCAAAGAGGTCCAAATATCCACTTGCAGACTTTACAAATAGAGTGTTTCCAAACTGCTCTATGAAAAGAAAGGTTAAACTCTGTGAGTTGAAGGCACACATCACAAACTAGTTTCTACGAATGACTCTGTGTACTTTTAATACGAAGATGTTTCCATGTCTAAGATTGGCGTGAATTCGCTTGAAATCTCCACTTGCAAATTCCACAAAAAGAGTGTTTCAAAACTGCTCTGAATAAAGGAAGGTTCCACTCTGTGAGTTGAATACACACAACACAAAGGATTTACTGAGAATTCTTCTGTCTAGCAGTAAATGAAAAAATCCCGCTTCCAACGAAGTCCTCAAAGGGGTCCAAGTAATCACTTGCAGACTTTACAGACAGAGTCTTTCCAAACTGCTCTATGAAAAGAAAGGTGGAACTCTGTGAGCTGAACGCACACATAACAAAGCAGTTTCTGAGAATGATTCTGTGTAGTTTTTACACGAAGATATTTCCATTTCAAAGATTAGCCTCAAATCGCTTGAAATCTCCACTTGCAAATTCCACAGAAAGAGTTTTTCAAAACTGCTCTGTGTAAAGGAAGGTTCAACTCTGTGACTTGAATACACACAACACAAAGAAGTGACTGAGAATTCTTCTGTCTAGCATTATATGAGGAAATCCCGTTTCCAACGAAGGGCTCAAAGAGGGCCAAATATCCACCTGCAGACTTACAAAGAGTGTATTTCCAAACTGCTCGATTAAAGAAAGGTTAAACTCTGTGAGTTGAACACACACATCACAAAGAGTTTTCTGAGAATGATTTTGTCTACTTTTAATACGAAGATATCTCCTTTTCTATCACTGACTTCGAAGCGTTTGAAATCTACACTGGCAAATTCCACAAAAAGACTGTTTCACCTCTGCTCCCTCTAAAGAAAGGTTCAACTCTGTGAGTTGAATACACACAACACAAAGAAGTTACTGAGAATTCTTCTGTCTAGCGTTATATGAAGAAATCCCGTTTCCAACGAAGGCCTCAAAGAGGTCCAAATATCCACTTGCAGACTTTACAAATAGAGTGTTTCCAAACTGCTCTATGAAAAGAAAGCTTAAACTCTGTGAGTTGAAGGCACACATCACAAACTAGTTTCTGCGAATGACTCTGTGTACTTTTAATACGAAGATGTTTCCATGTCTAAGATTGGCGTGAATTCGCTTGAAATCTCCACTTGCAAATTCCACAAAAAGAGTGTTTCAAAACTGCTCTGAATAAAGGAAGGTTCCACTCTGTGAGTTGAATACACACAACACAAAGGATTTACTGAGAATTCTTCTGTCTAGCAGTAAATGAAAAAATCCCGCTTCCAACGAAGTCCTCAAAGGGGTCCAAGTAATCACTTGCAGACTTTACAGACAGAGTCTTTCCAAACTGCTCTATGAAAAGAAAGGTGGAACTCTGTGAGCTGAACGCACACATAACAAAGCAGTTTCTGACAATGATTCTGTGTAGTTTTTACACGAAGATATTTCCATTTCAAAGATTAGCCTCAAATCGCTTGAAATCTCCACTTGCAAATTCCACAGAAAGAGTTTTTCAAAACTGCTCTGTGTAAAGGAAGGTTCAACTCTGTGACTTGAATACACACAACACAAAGAAGTGACTGAGAATTCTTCTGTCTAGCATTATATGAAGAAATCCCGTTTCCAACGAAGGCCTCAAAGAAGTCCAAATAAGCACCTGCAGACTTTACAAACAGAGTGTTTCCAAACTGCTCTATGAAAAGAAAGGTTAAACTCTGTGAGTTGAACGCACACATCACAAAGTAGTTGTTGAGAATGATTCTGTGTAGTTTTTATACGAAGATATTTCCTTTTCTGCCATAGGCCTAGAATCGCTTGAAATCTGCACTTGCAAATTCCAAAAACAGAGTGTTTCAACTCTGCTCTCTCTAAAGAAAGGTTCAACTCTGTGAGTTGAATACACACAACACAAAGAAGTTACTGAGAATTCTTCTGTCTAGCGTTATATGAAGAAATCCCGTTTCCAACGAAGGCCTCAAAGAGGTCCAAATATCCACTTGCAGACTTTACATATAGAGTGTTTCCAAACTGCTCTATGAAAAGAAAGGTTAAACTCTGTGAGATGAAGGCACACATCACAAACTAGTTTCTACGAATGACTCTGTGTACTTTTAATATGAATATATTTCCACGTCTAAGATTGGCGTCAAATCTCTTGAAATCTCCACTTGCAAATTCCACAAAAAGTGTTTTTCAAAACTTCTCTGAATAAAGGAAGGTTCAACTCTGTGAGTTGAATACACACAACACAAAGGATTTACTGAGAATTCTTCTGTCTAGCAGTAAATGAGAAATCCCGCTTCCAATGAAGGCCTCAAAGGGGTCTAACTAATCACTTGCAGACTTTACAGACAGAGTGTTTCCAAACTGCTCTATGAAGAGAAAGGTGAAACTCTGTGAACTGAACGCACAGATAACAAAGCAGTTTCTGAGAATGATTCTGTGTGGTTTTTACACGAAGCTATTTCCATTTCAAAGATTAGCCTCAAATCGCTTGAAATCTCCACTTGCAAATTCCACAGAAAGAGTTTTTCAAAACTGCTCTGTGTAAAGGAAGGTTCAACTCTGTGACTTGAATACACACAACACAAAGAAGTGACTGAGAATTCTTCTGTCTAGCATTATATGAAGAAATCCCGTTTCCAACGAAGGCCTCAATGAAGTCCAAAAAAGCACTTGCAGGCTTTACAAACAGAGTGTTTCCAAACTGCTCTATGAAAAGAAAGTTTAAACTCTCTGAGTTGAACGCACACATCACAAAGTAGTTGTTGAGAATGATTTCTGTGTAGTTTTTATACGAAGATATTTCCTTTTCTGCCATAGGCCTAGAATCGCTTGAAATCTGCACTTGCAAATTCCAAAAACAGAGTGTTTCAACTCTGCTCTCTCTAAAGGAAGGTTCCACTCTGTGAGTTGAATACACACAACACAAGGGATTTACTGAGAATTCTTCTGTCTAGCATTATATGAGGAAATCCCGTTTCCAACGAAGGGCTCATAGAGGGACAATTATCCAGCTGCAGACTTACAAAGAGTGTATTTCCAAACTGCTCGATTAAAGAAAGGTTAAACTCTGTGAGTTGAACACACACATCACAAAGTGTTTTTCTGAGAATGATTCTGTGTACTTTTAATACGAAGATATTTCCATGTCTAAGATTGGCGTGAATTCGCTTGAAATCTCCACTTGCAAATTCCACAAAGAGTGTTTCAAAACTGCTCTGAATAAAGGAAGGTTCCACTCTGTGAGTTGAATACACACAACACAAAGGATTTACTGAGAATTCTTCTGTCTAGCAGTAAATGAAAAAATCCCGCTTCCAACGAAGTCCTCAAAGGGGTCCAAGTAATCACTTGCAGACTTTACAGACAGAGTCTTTCCAAACTGCTCTATGAAAAGAAAGGTGGAACTCTGCGAGCTGAACGCACACATAACAAAGCAGTTTCTGAGAATGATTCTGTGTAGTTTTTACACGAAGATATTTCCATTTCAAAGATTAGCCTCAAATCGCTTGAAATCTCCACTTGCAAACTCCACAGAAAGAATTTTTCAAAACTGCTCTGTCTAAAGGAAGGTTCAACTCTGTGACTTGAATACACACAACACAAACAAGTGACTGAGAATTCTTCTGTCTAGCATTATATGAAGAAATCCCGTTTCCAACGAAGGCCTCAATGAAGTCCAAAAAAGCACTTGCAGGCTTTACAAACAGAGTGTTTCCAAACTGCTCTATGAAAAGAAAGGTTAAACTCTGTGAGTTGAACGCACACATCACAAAGTAGTTGTTGAGAATGATTCTGTGTAGTTTTTATACGAAGATATTTCCTTTTCTGCCATAGGCCTAGAAGCGCTTGAAATCTGCACTTGCAAATTCCAAAAACAGAGTGTTTCAACTCTGCTCTCTCTAAAGGAAGATTCAACTCTGTGAGTTGAATACACACAACACAAAGAAGTTACTGAGAATTCTTCTGTCTAGCGTTGTATGAAGAAATCCCGTTTCCAACGAAGGCCTCAATGAAGTTCAAAAAAGCACTTGCAGGCTTTACAAACAGAGTGTTTCCAAACTGCTCTATGAAAAGAAAGGTTAAACTCTGTGAGTTGAACACACACATCACAAAGTAGTTGTTGAGAATGATTCTGTGTAGTTTTTATACGAAGATATTTCCTTTTCTGCCATAGGCCTAGAATCGCTTGAAATCTGCAGTTGCAAATTCCAAAAACAGAGTGTTTCAACTCTGCTCTCTCTAAAGAAAGGTTCAACTCTGTGAGTTGAATACACACAACACAAAGAAGTTACTGAGAATTCTTCTGTCTAGCGTTGTATGAAGAAATCCCGTTTCCAACGAAGGCCTCAATGAAGTCCAAAAAAGCACTTGCAGGCTTTACAAACAGAGTGTTTCCAAACTGCTCTATGAAAAGAAAGGTTAAACTCTGTGAGTTGAACACACACATCACAAAGAGTTTTCTGAGAATGATTTTGTCTACTTTTAATACGAAGATATATCCTTTTCTATCACTGTCTTCGAAGCGTTTGAAATCTGCACTAGCAAATTCCACAAAAAGAGTGTTTCAACTCTGCTCTCTCTAAAGAAAGGTTCAACTCTGTGAGTTGAATACACACAACACAAAGAAGTTACTGAGAATTCTTCTGTCTAGCGTTATATGAAGAAATCCCTTTTCCAACGAAGGCCTCAAAGAGGTCCAAATATCCACTTGCAGACTTTACAAATAGAATGTTTCCGAACTGCTCTATGAAAAGAAAGGTTAAACTCTGTGAGTTGAAGGCACACATCACAAACTAGTTTCTACGAATGATTCTGTGTACTTTTAATATGAAGATATTTCCATGTCTAAGATTGGCGTCAAATCGCTTGAAATCTCCACTTGCAAATTCCACAAAAAGAGTGTTTCAAAACTGCTCTGAATAAAGGAAGGTTCCACTCTGTGAGTTGAATAAACACAACACAAAGGATTTACTGAGAATTCTTCTGTCTAGCATTATATGAAGAAATCCCGTTTCCAACGAAGGCCTCAATGAAGTCGAAAAAGGCACTGGCAGGCTTTACAAGCAGAGTGTTTCCAAACTGCTCTATGAAAAGAAAGGTTAAACTTTGTGAGTGGAGCGCACACATCACAAAGTAGTTGTTGAGAATGATTCTGTGTAGTTTTTATACGAAGATAATTCCTTTTCTGCCATAGGCCTAGTAATCGCTTGAAATCTCCCCTTGCAAATTCCAAAAACAGAGTGTTTCAGCTCTGCTCTCTCTAAAGAAAGGTTCAACTCTGTGAGTTGAATACACACAACACAAAGAAGTTAGTGAGAATTCTTCTGTCTAGCGTTGTATGAAGAAATCCCGTTTCCAACGAAGGCCTCAATGTAGTCCAAAAAAGCACTTGCAGGCTTTACAAACAGAGTGTTTCCAAACTGCTCTATGAAAAGAAAGGTTAAACTCTGTGAGTTGAAGGCACACATCACAAACTAGTTTCTACGAATGACTCTGTGTACTTTTAATACGAAGATGTTTCCATGTCTAAGATTGGCGTGAATTCGCTTGAAATCTCCACTTGCAAATTCCACAAAAAGAGTGTTTCAAAACTGCTCTGAATAAAGGAAGGTTCCACTCTGTGAGTTGAATACACACAACACAAAGGATTTACTGAGAATTCTTCTGTATAGCAGTAAATGAGAAATCCCGCTTCCAACGAAGGCCTCAAAGGGTTCTAACTAATCACTTGCAGACTTTACAGACAGAGTCTTTCCAAACTGCTCTATGAAGAGAAAGGTGAAACTCTGTGAACTGAACGCACAGATGACAAAGCAGTTTCTGAGAATGATTCTGTGTAGTTTTTACACGAAGATATTTCCATTTCAAAGATTAGCCTCAAATCGCTTGAAATCTCCACTTGCAAACTCCACAGAAAGAATTTTTCAAAACTGCTCTGTCTAAAGGAAGGTTCAACTCTGTGACTTGAATACACACAACACAAAGAAGTGACTGAGAATTCTTCTGTCTAGCATTATATGAAGAAATCCCGTTTCCAACGAAGGCCTCAATGAAGTCCAAAAAAGCACTTGCAGGCTTTACAAACAGAGTGTTTCCAAACTGCTCTATGAAAAGAAAGGTTAAACTCTGTGAAGTTGAACGCACACATCACAAAGTAGTTGTTGAGAATGATTCTGGGTAGTTTTTATACGAAGATATTTCCTTTTCTGCCATAGGCCTAGAATCGCTTGAAATCTGCACTTGCAAATTCCAAAAACAGAGTGTTTCAACTCTGTTCTCTCTAAAGAAAGGTTCAACTCTGTGAGTTGAATACACACAACACAAAGAAGTTACTGAGAATTCTTCTGTCTAGCGTTATATGAAGAAATCCCGTTTCCAACGAAGGCCTCAAAGAGGTCCAAATATCCACTTGCAGACTTTACAAATAGAGTGTTTCCAAACTGCTCTATGAAAAGAAAGGTTAAACTCCGTGAGTTGAAGGCACACATCTCAAACTAGTTTCTGCGAATGACTCTGTGTACTTTTAATACGAAGATGTTTCCATGTCTAAGATTGGCGTGAATTCGCTTGAAATCTCCACTTGCAAATTCCACAAAAAGAGTGTTTCAAAACTGCTCTGAATAAAGGAAGGTTCCACTCTGTGAGTTGAATACACACAACACAAAGGATTTACTGAGAATTCTTCTGTCTAGCAGTAAATGAAAAAATCCCGCTTCCAACGAAGTCCTCCAAGGGGTCCAAGTAATCACTTGCAGACTTCACAGACAGAGTCTTTCCAAACTGCCCTATGAAAAGAAAGGTGGAACTCTGTGAGCTGAACGCACACATAACAAAGCAGTTTCTGAGAATGATTCTGTGTAGTTTTTACATGAAGATATTTCCATTTCAAAGATTAGCCTCAAATCGCTTGAAATCTCCCCTTGCAAATTCCACAGAAAGAGTTTTTCAAAACTGCTCTGTGTAAAGGAAGGTTCAACTCTGCGACTTGAATACACACAACACAAAGAAGTGACTGAGAATTCTTCTGTCTAGCATTATATGAAGAAATCCCGTTTCCAACGAAGGCCTCAAAGAAGTCCAAATAAGCACCTGCAGACTTTACAAACAGAGTGTTTCCAAACTGCTCTATGAAAAGAAAGGTTAAACTCTGTGAGTTGAACGCACACATCACAAAGTAGTTGTTGAGAATGATTCTGTGTAGTTTTTATACGAAGATATTTCCTTTTCTGCCATAGGCCTAGAAGCGCTTGCAATCTGCACTTGCAAATTCCAAAAACAGAGTGTTTCAAATCTGCTCTCTCCAAAGGAAGGTTCAAATCTGTGAGTTGAATACAAACAACACAAAGAAGTTACTGAGAATTCTTCTGTCTAGCGTTATATGAAGAAATCCCGTTTCCAACGAAGGCCTCAAAGAGGTCCAAATATCCACTTGCAGACTTTACAAATAGAGTGTTTCCAAACTGCTCTATGAAAAGAAAGGTTAAACTCCGTGAGTTGAAGGCACACATCTCAAACTAGTTTCTGCGAATGACTCTGTGTACTTTTAATACGAAGATGTTTCCATGTCTAAGATTGGCGTGAATTCGCTTGAAATCTCCACTTGCAAATTCCACAAAAAGAGTGTTTCAAAACTGCTCTGAATAAAGGAAGGTTCCACTCTGTGAGTTGAATACACACAACACAAAGGATTTACTGAGAATTCTTCTGTCTAGCAGTAAATGAGAAGTCCCGCTTCCAACGAAGGCCTCAAAGGGGTCTAACTAATCACTTGCAGACTTTAAAGACAGAGTCTTTCCAAACTGCTCTATGAAGAGAAAGGTGAAACTCTGTGAACTGAACGCACAGATGACAAAGCAGTTTCTGAGAATGCTTCTGTGTAGTTTTTACACGAAGATATTTCCATTTCAAAGATTAGCCTCAAATCGCTTGAAATCTCCACTTGCAAACTCCACAGAAAGAATTTTTCAAAACTGCTCTGTCTAAAGGAAGGTTCAACTCTGTGACTTGAATACACACAACACAAACAAGTGACTGAGAATTCTTCTGTCTAGCATTATAAGAGGAAATCCCGTTTCCAACGAAGGGCTCATAGAGGGACAATTATCCAGCTGCAGACTTACAAAGAGTGTATTTCCAAACTGCTCGATTAAAGAAAGGTTAAACTCTGTGAGTTGAACACACACATCACAAAGTGTTTTCTGAGAATGATTTTGTCTAGTTTTAATACGAAGATATATCCTTTTCTATCACTGTCTTCGAAGCGTTTGAAATCTGCACTAGCAAATTCCACAAACAGAGTGTTTCAACTCTGCTCTCTCTCAAGAAAGGTTCAACTCTGTGAGTTGAATACACACAACACAAAGAAGTTACTGAGAATTCTTCTGTCTAGCGTTATATGAAGAAATCCCGTTTCCAACGAAGGCCTCAAAGAGGTCCAAATATCCACTTGCAGACTTTACAAATAGAGTGTTTCCCAACTGCTCTATGAAAAGAAAGGTTAAACTCCTGTGAGTTGAAGGCACACATCACAAACTAGTTTCTACGAATGACTTCTGTGTACTTTTAATATGAAGATATTTCCATGTCTAAGATTGGCGTCAAATCGCTTGAAATCTCCACTTGCAAATTCCACAAAAAGAGTGTTTCAAAACTGCTCTGAATAAAGGAAGGTTCCACTCTGTGAGTTGAATACACACAACACAAAGGATTTACAGAGAATTCTTCTGTCTAGCAGTAAATGAAAAAATCCCGCTTCCAACGAAGTCCTCAAAGGGGTCCAAGTAATCACTTGCAGACTTTACAGACAGAGTCTTTCCAAACTGCTCTATGAAAAGAAAGGTGGAACTCTGTGAGCTGAACGCACACATAACAAAGCAGTTTCTGAGAATGATTCTGTGTAGTTTTTACACGAAGATATTTCCATTTCAAAGATTAGCCTCAAATCGCTTGAAATCTCCACTTGCAAATTCCACAGAAAGAATTTTTCAAAACTGCTCTGTCTAAAGGAAGGTTCAACTCTGTGACTTGAATACACACAACACAAAGAAGTGACTGAGAATTCTTCTGTCTAGCATTATATGAAGAAATCCCGTTTCCAACGAAGGCCTCAATGAAGTCCAAAAAAGCACTTGCAGTCTTTACAAACAGAGTGTTTCCAAACTACTCTATGAAAAGAAAGGTTAAACTCTGTGAGTTGAACGCACACATCACAAAGTAGTTGTTGAGAATGATTCTGTGTAGTTTTTATACGAAGATATTTCCTTTTCTGCCATAGGCCTAGAAGCGCTTGTAATCTGCACTTGCAAATTCCAAAAACAGAGTGTTTCAAATCTGCTCTCTCTAAAGGAAGGTTCAAATCTGTGAGTTGAATACAAACAACACAAAGAAGTTACTGAGAATTCTTCTGTCTAGCGTTGTATGAAGAAATCCCGTTTCCAACGAAGGCCTCAAAGAGGTCCAAATATCCACTTGCAGACTTTACAAATAGAGTGTTTCCCAACTGCTCTATGAAAAGAAAGGTTAAACTCTGTGAGTTGAAGGCACACATCACAAACCAGTTTCTACGAATGACTCTGTGTACTTTTAATATGAAGATATTTCCATGTCTAAGATTGGCGTCAAATCGCTTGAAATCTCCACTTGCAAATTCCACAAAAAGTGTTTTTCAAAACTGCTCTGAATAAAGGAAGGTTCCACTCTGTGAGTTGAATACACACAACACAAAGGATTTACTGAGAATTCTTCTGTCTAGCAGTAAATGAAAAAATCCCGCTTCCAACGAAGTCCTCAAAGGGGTCCAAGTAATCACTTGCAGACTTTACAGACAGAGTCTTTCCAAACTGCTCTATGAAAAGAAAGGTGGAACTCTGTGAGCTGAACGCACACATAACAAAGCAGTTTCTGAGAATGATTCTGTGTAGTTTTTACACGAAGATATTTCCATTTCAAAGATTAGCCTCAAATCGCTTGAAATCTCCACTTGCAAATTCCACAGAAAGAGTTTTTCAAAACTGCTCTGTGTAAAGGAAGGTTCAACTCTGTGACTTGAATACACACAACACAAAGAAGTGACTGAGAATTCTTCTGTCTAGCATTATAAGAGGAAATCCTGTTTCCAACGAAGGGCTCATAGAGGGACAATTATCCAGCTGCAGACTTACAAAGAGTGTATTTCCAAACTGCTCGATTAAAGAAAGGTTAAACTCTGTGAGTTGAACACACACATCACAAAGTGTTTTCTGAGAATGATTCTGTGTAGTTTTTATACGAAGATATTTCCTTTTCTGCCATAGGCCTAGAATCGCTTGAAATCTGCACTTGCAAATTCCAAAAACAGAGTGTTTCAACTCTGCTCTCTCTAAAGAAAGGTTCAACTCTGTGAGTTGAATACACACAACACAAAGAAGTTACTGAGAATTCTTCTGTCTAGCGTTGTATGAAGAAATCCCGTTTCCAACGAAGGCCTCAAAGAGGTCCAAATATCCACTTGCAGACTTTACAAACAGAGTGTTTCCAAACTGCTCTATGAAAAGAAAGGTTAAACTCTGTGAGTTGAAGGCACACATCACAAACTAGTTTCTACGAATGACTCTGTGTACTTTTAATATGAAGATATTTCCATGTCTAAGATTGGCGTCAAATCGCTTGAAATCTCCACTTGCAAATTCCACAAAAAGTGTTTTTCAAAACTGCTCTGAATAAAGGAAGGTTCCACTCTGTGAGTTGAATACACACAACACAAAGGATTTACTGAGAATTCTTCTGTCTGGCAGTAAATGAAAAAATCCCGCTTCCAACGAAGTCCTCAAAGGGGTCCAAGTAATCACTTGCAGACTTTACAGACATAGTCTTTCCAAACTGCTCTATGAAAAGAAAGGTGGAACTCTGTGAGCTGAACGCACACATAACAAAGCAGTTTCTGAGAATGTTTCTGTGTAGTTTTTACACGAAGATATTTCCATTTCAAAGATTAGCCTCAAATCGCTTGAAATCTCCACTTGCAAATTCCACAGAAAGAGTTTTTCAAAACTGCTCTGTGTAAAGGAAGGTTCAACTCTGTGACTTGAATACACACAACACAAAGAAGTGACTGAGAATTCTTCTGTCTAGCATTATATGAAGAAATCCCGTTTCCAACGAAGGCCTCAAAGAAGTCCAAATAAGCACCTGCAGACTTTACAAACAGAGTGTTTCCAAACTGCTCTATGAAAAGAAAGGTTAAACTCTGTGAGTTGAACGCACACATCACAAACTAGTTTCTGCGAATGACTCTGTGTACTTTTAATACGAAGATGTTTCCATGTCTAAGATTGGCGTGAATTCGCTTGAAATCTCCACTTGCAAATTCCACAAAAAGAGTGTTTCAAAACTGCTCTGAATAAAGGAAGGTTCCACTCTGTGAGTTGAATACACACAACACAAAGGATTTACTGAGAATTCTTCTGTCTAGCAGTAAATGAAAAAATCCCGCTTCCAACGAAGTCCTCAAAGGGGTCCAAGTAATCACTTGCAGACTTTACAGAGTCTTTCCAAACTGCTCTATGAAAACAAAGGTGGAACTCTGTGAGCTGAACGCACACATAACAAAGCAGTTTCTGAGAATGATTCTGTGTAGTTTTTACACGAAGATATTTCCATTTCAAAGATTAGCCTCAAATCGCTTGAAATCTCCACTTGCAAATTCCACAGAAAGAGTTTTTCAAAACTGCTCTGTGTAAAGGAAGGTTCAACTCTGTGACTTGAATACACACAACACAAAGAAGTGACTGAGAATTCTTCTGTCTAGCATTATATGAAGAAATCCCGTTTCCAACGAAGGCCTCAAAGAAGTCCAAATAAGCACCGGCAGACTTTACAAACAGAGTGTTTCCAAACTGCTCTATGAAAAGAAAGGTTAAACTCTGTGAGTTGAACGCACACATCACAAAGTAGTTGTTGAGAATGATTCTGTGTAGTTTTTATACGAAGATATTTCCTTTTCTGCCATAGGCCTAGAAGCGCTTGTAATCTGCACTTGCAAATTCCAAAACCAGAGTGTTTCAAATCTGCTCTCTCTAAAGGAAGGTTCAAATCTGTGAGTTGAATACAAACAACACAAAGAAGTTACTGAGAATTCTTCTGTCTAGTGTTGTATGAAGAAATCCCATTTCCAACGAAGGCCTCAAAGAGGTCCAAATATCCACTTGCAGACTTTACAAATAGAGTGTTTCCCAACTGCTCTATGAAAAGAAAGGTTAAACTCTGTGAGTTGAAGGCACACATCACAAACTAGTTTCTACGAATGACTCTGTGTACTTTTAATATGAAGATATTTCCATGTCTAAGATTGGCGTCAAATCGCTTGAAATCTCCACTTGCAAATTCCACAAAAAGTGTTTTTCAAAACTGCTCTGAATAAAGGAAGGTTCCACTCTGTGAGTTGAATACACACAACACAAAGGATTTACTGAGAATTCTTCTGTCTAGCAGTAAATGAGAAATCCCGCTTTCAACGAAGGCCTCAAAGGGGTCTAACTAATCACTTGCAGACTTTACAGACAGAGTCTTTCCAAACTGCTCTATGAAGAGAAAGGTGAAACTCTGTGAACTGAACGCACTGATGACAAAGCAGTTTCTGAGAATGATTTCTGTGTGGTTTTTACACGAAGCTATTTCCATTTCAAAGATTAGCCTCAAATCGCTTGAAATCTCCACTTGCAAATTCCACAGAAAGAGTTTTTCAAAACTGCTCTGTGTAAAGGAAGGTTCAACTCTGTGACTTGAATACACACAACACAAAGAAGTGACTGAGAATTCTTCTGTCTAGCATTATAAGAGGAAATCCCGTTTCCAACGAAGGGCTCATAGAGGGACAATTATCCAGCTGCAGACTTACAAAGAGTGTATTTCCAAACTGCTCGATTAAAGAAAGGTTAAACTCTGTGAGTTGAACACACACATCACAAAGTGTTTTCTGAGAATGATTCTGTGTAGTTTTTATACGAAGATATTTCCTTTTCTCCCATAGGCCTAGAATCGCTTGAAATCTGCACTTGCAAATTCCAAAAACAGAGTGTTTCAACTCTGCTCTCTCTAAAGAAAGGTTCAACTCTGTGAGTTGAATACAAACAACACAAAGAAGTTACTGAGAATTCTTCTGTCTAGCGTTGTATGAAGAAATCCCGTTTCCAACGAAGGCCTCAAAGAGGTCCAAATATCCACTTGCAGACTTTACAAATAGAGTGTTTCCAAACTGCTCTATGAAAAGAAAGGTTAAACTCTGTGAGTTGAAGGCACACATCACAAACTAGTTTCTACGAATGACTCTGTGTACTTTTAATATGAAGATATTTCCATGTCTAAGATTGGCGTCAAATCGCTTGAAATCTCCACTTGCAAATTCCACAAAAAGAGTGTTTCAAAACTGCTCTGAATAAAGGAAGGTTCCACTCTGTGAGTTGAATACACACAACACAAAGGATTTACTGAGAATTCTTCTGTCTAGCAGTAAATGAGAAATCCCGCTTCCAACGAAGGCCTCAAAGGGGTCTAACTAATCACTTGCAGACTTTACAGACAGAGTCTTTCCAAACTGCTCTATGAAGAGAAAGGTGAAACTCTGTGAACTGAACGCACAGATGACAAAGCAGTTTCTGAGAATGATTCTGTGTAGTTTTTACACGAAGATATTTCCATTTCAAAGATTAGCCTCAAATCGCTTGAAATCTCCACTTGCAAATTCCACTGAAAGAGTTTTTCAAAACTGCTCTGTGTAAAGGAAGGTTCAACTCTGTGACTTGAATACACACAACACAAAGAAGTGACTGAGAATTCTTCTGTCTAGCATTATATGAAGAACTCCCGTTTCCAACGAAGGCCTCAAAGAAGTCCAAATAAGCACTTGCAGACTTTACAGAGTGTTTCCAAACTGCTCTATGAAAAGAAAGGTTAAACTCTGTGAGTTGAACGCGCACATCACAAAGTAGTTGTTGAGAATGATTCTGTGTAGTTTTTATACGAAGATATTTCCTTTTCTGCCATAGGCCTAGAAGCGCTTGAAATCTGCACTTGCAAATTCCAAAAACAGAGGGTTTCAAATCTGCTCTCTCTAAAGGAAGGTTCAAATCAGTGAGTTGAATTCAAACAACACAAAGAAGTTACTCAGAATTCTTCTGTCTAGCATTATATGAGGAAATCCCGTTTCCAACGAAGGGCTCATAGTAGGGACAATTATCCAGCTGCAGACTTACAAAGAGTGTATTTCCAAACTGCTCGATTAAAGAAAGGTTAAACTCTGTGAGTTGAACACACACATCACAAAGTGTTTTCTGAGAATGATTCTGTGTACTTTTAATATGAAGATATTTCCATGTCTAAGATTGGCGTCAAATCGCTTGAAATCTCCACTTGCAAATTCCACAAAAAGTGTTTTTCAAAAGTGCTCTGAATAAAGGAAGGTTCCACTCTGTGAGTTGAATACACACAACACAAAGGATTTACTGAGAATTCTTCTGTCTAGCAGTAAATGAAAAAATCCCGCTTCCAACGAAGTCCTCAAAGGGGTCCAAGTAATCACTTGCAGACTTTACAGACAGAGTCTTTCCAAACTGCTCTATGAAAAGAAAGGTGGAACTCTGTGAGCTGAACGCACACATAACAAAGCAGTTTCTGAGAATGATTCTGTGTAGTTTTTACACGAAGCTATTTCCATTTCAAAGATTAGCCTCAAATAGCTTGAAATCTCCACTTGCAAATTCCACAGAAAGAGTTTTTCAAAACTGCTCTGTGTAAAGGAAGGTCCAACTCTGTGACTTGAATACACACAACACAAAGAAGTGACTGAGAATTCTTCTGTCTAGCGTTATATGAAGAAATCCCGTTTCCAACGAAGGCCTCAATGAAGTCCAAAAAAGCACTTGCAGGCTTTACAAACAGAGTGTTTCCAAACTGCTCTATGAAAAGAAAGGTTAAACTCTGTGAGTTGAACGCACACATCACAAAGTAGTTGTTGAGAATGATTCTGTGTAGTTTTTCTACGAAGATATTTCCTTTTCTGCCATAGGCCTAGAATCGCTTGAAATCTGCACTTGCAAATTCCAAAAACAGAGTGTTTCAACTCTGTTCTCTCTAAAGAAAGGTTCAACTCTGTGAGTTGAATACACACAACACAAAGAAGTTACTGAGAATTCTTCTGTCTAGCGTTGTATGAAGAAATCCCGTTTCCAACGAAGGCCTCAATGAAGTCCAAAAAAGCACTTGCAGGCTTTACAAACAGAGTGTTTCCAAACTGCTCTCTGAAAAGAAAGGTTAACCTCTGTGAGTTGAACGCACACATCACAAAGTAGTTGTTGAGAATGATTCTGTGTAGTTTTTATACGAAGATATTTCCTTTTCTGCCATAGGCCTAGAAGCGCTTGAAATCTGCACTTGCAAATTCCAAAAACAGAGTGTTTCAAATCTGCTCTCTCTAAAGGAAGGTTCAAATCTGTGTGTTGAATACAAACAACACAAAGAAGTTACTGAGAATTCTTCTGTCTAGCGTTATATGAAGAAATCCCGTTTCCAACGAAGGCCTCAAAGAGGTCCAAATATCCACTTGCAGACTTTACAAATAGAGTGTTTCCAAACTGCTCTATGAAAAGAAAGGTTAAACTCTGTGAGTTGAAGGCACACATGACAAACTAGTTTCTGCGAATGACTCTGTGTACTTTTAATACGAAGATGTTTCCATGTCTAAGATTGGCGTGAATTCGCTTGAAATCTCCACTTGCAAATTCCACAAAAAGAGTGTTTCAAAACTGCTCTGAATAAAGGAAGGTTCCACTCTGTGAGTTGAATACACACAACACAAAGGATTTACTGAGAATTCTTCTGTCTAGCAGTAAATGAAAAAATCCCGCTTCCAACGAAGTCCTCAAAGGGGTCCAAGTAATCACTTGCAGACTTTACAGACAGAGTCTTTCCAAACTGCTCTATGAAAAGAAAGGTGGAACTCTGTGAGCTGAACGCACACATAACAAAGCAGTTTCTGAGAATGATTCTGTGTAGTTTTTAAACGAAGATATTTCCATTTCAAAGATTAGCCTCAAATCGCTTGAAATCTCCACTTGCAAATTCCACAGAAAGAGTTTTTCAAAACTGCTCTGTGTAAAGGAAGGTTCAACTCTTTGACTTGAATACACACAACACAAAGAAGTGACTGAGAATTCTTCTGTCTAGCATTATATGAAGAAATCCCGTTTCCAACGAAGGCCTCAAAGAAGTCCAAATAAGCACCTGCAGACTTTACAAACAGAGTGTTTCCAAACTGCTCTATGAAAAGAAAGGTTAAACTCTGTGAGTTGAACGCACACATCACAAAGTAGTTGTTGAGAATGATTCTGTGTAGTTTTTATACGAAGATATTTCCTTTTCTGCCATAGGCCTAGAAGCGCTTGAAATCTGCACTTGCAAATTCCAAAAACAGAGTGTTTCAAATCTGCTCTCTCTAAAGGAAGGTTCAAATCTGTGAGTTGAATACAAACAACACAAAGAAGTTACTGAGAATTCTTCTGTCTACCATTATATGAGGAAATCCCGTTTCTAACGAAGGGCTCAAAGAGGGCCAATTATCCACCTGCAGACTTACAAAGAGTGTATTTCCAAACTGCTCGATTAAAGAAAGGTTAAACTCTGTGAGTTGAACACACACATCACAAAGTGTTTTCTGAGAATGATTCTGTGTAGTTTTTATACGAAGATATTTCCTTTTCTGCCATAGGCCTAGAATCGCTTGAAATCTGCAGTTGCAAATTCCAAAAACAGAGTGTTTCAACTCTGCTCTCTCTAAAGAAAGGTTCAACTCTGTGAGTTAAATACACACAACACAAAGAAGTTACTGAGAATTCTTCTGTCTAGCGTTGTATGAAGAAATCCCGTTTCCAACGAAGGCCTCAAAGAGGTCCAAATATCCACTTGCAGACTTTACAAATAGAGTGTTTCCCAACTGCTCTATGAAAAGAAAGGTTAAACTCTGTGAGTTGAAGGCACACATCACAAACTAGTTTCTACGAATGACTCCGTGTACTTTTAATATGAAGATATTTCCATGTCTAAGATTGGCGTCAAATCGCTTGAAATCTCCACTTGCAAATTCCACAAAAAGAGTGTTTCAAAACTGCTCTGAATAAAGGAAGGTTCCACTCTGTGAGTTGAATACACACAACACAAAGGATTTACTGAGAATTCTTCTGTCTAGCAGTAAATGAAAAAATCCCGCTTCCAACGAAGTCCTCAAAGGGGTCCAAGTAATCACTTGCAGACTTTACAGACAGAGTCTTTCCAAACTGCTCTATGAAAAGAAAGGTGGAACTCTGTGAGCTGAACGCACACATAACAAAGCAGTTTCTGAGAATGATTCTGTGTAGTTTTTACACGAAGATATTTCCATTTCAAAGATTAGCCTCAAATCGCTTGAAATCTCCACTTGCAAACTCCACAGAAAGAATTTTTCAAAACTGCTCTGTCTAAAGGAAGGTTCAACTCTGTGACTTGAATACACACAACACAAAGAAGTGACTGAGAATTCTTCTGTCTAGCATTATAAGAGGAAATCCCGTTTCCAACGAAGGGCTCATAGAGGGACAATTATCCAGCTGCAGACTTACAAAGAGTGTATTTCCAAACTGCTCGATTAAAGAAAGGTTAAACTCTGTGAGTTGAACACACACATCACAAAGTGTTTTCTGAGAATGATTCTGTGTAGTTTTTATACGAAGATATTTCCTTTTCTGCCATAGGCCTAGAAGCGCTTGTAATCTGCACTTGCAAATTCCAAAAACAGAGTGTTTCAAATCTGCTCTCTCTAAAGGAAGGTTCAAATCTGTGAGTTGAATACAAACAACACAAAGAAGTTACTGAGAATTCTTCTGTCTAGCGTTATATGAAGAAATCCCGTTTCCAACGAAGGCCTCAAAGAGGTCCAAATATCCACTTGCAGACTTTACAAATAGAGTGTTTCCAAACTGCTCTATGAAAAGAAAGGTTAAACTCCGTGAGTTGAAGGCACACATCACAAACTAGTTTCTGCAAATGACTCTGTGTACTTTTAATACGAAGATGTTTCCATGTCTAAGATTGGCGTGAATTCGCTTGAAATCTCCACTTGCAATTTCCACAAAAAGAGTGTTTCAAAACTGCTCTGAATAAAGGAAGGTTCCACTCTGTGAGTTGAATACACACAACAGAAAGGATTTACTGAGAATTCTTCTGTCTAGCAGTAAATGAAAAAATCCCGCTTCCAACGAAGTCCTCAAAGGGGTCCAAGTAATCACTTGCAGACTTTACAGACAGAGTCTTTCCAAACTGCTCTATGAAAAGAAAGGTGGAACTCTGTGAGCTGAACGCACACATAACAAAGCAGTTTCTGAGAATGATTCTGTGTAGTTTTTACACGAAGATATTTCCATTTCAAAGATTAGCCTCAAATCGCTTGAAATCTCCACTTGCAAACTCCACAGAAAGAATTTTTCAAAACTGCTCTGTCTAAAGGAAGGTTCAACTCTGTGACTTGAATACACACAACACAAAGAAGTGACTGAGAATTCTTCTGTCTAGCATTATATGAGGAAATCCCGTTTCCAATGAAGGGCTCAAAGAGGGCCAATTATCCACCTGCAGACTTACAAAGAGTGTATTTCCAAACTGCTCGATTAAAGAAAGGTTAAACTCTGTGAGTTGAACACACACATCACAAAGTGTTTTCTGAGAATGATTCTGTGTAGTTTTTATACGAAGATATTTCCTTTTCTGCCATAGGACTAGAAGCGCTTGCAATCTGCACTTGCAAATTCCAAAAACAGAGTGTTTCAAATCTGCTCTCTCCAAAGGAAGGTTCAAATCTGTGAGTTGAATACAAACAACACAAAGAAGTTACTGAGAATTCTTCTGTCTAGCATTATAAGAGGAAATCCCGTTTCCAACGAAGGGCTCATAGAGGGACAATTATCCAGCTGCAGACTTACAAAGAGTGTATTTCCAAACTGCTCGATTAAAGAAAGGTTAAACTCTGTGAGTTGAACACACACATCACAAAGTGTTTTCTGAGAATGATTTTGTCTAGTTTTAATACGAAGATATATCCTTTTCTATCACTGTCTTCGAAGCGTTTGAAATCTGCACTAGCAAATTCCACAAACAGAGTGTTTCAACTCTGCTCTCTCTCAAGAAAGGTTCAACTCTGTGAGTGGAATACACACAACACAAAGAAGTTACTGAGAATTCTTCTGTCTAGCGTTATATGAAGAAATCCCGTTTCCAACGAAGGCCTCAAAGAGGTCCAAATATCCACTTACAGACTTTACAGATAGAGTGTTTCCAAACTGCTCTATGAAAAGAAAGGTTAAACTCCGTGAGTTGAAGGCACACATCACAAACTAGTTTCTGCGAATGACTCTGTGTACTTTTAATACGAAGATGTTTCCATGTCTAAGATTGGCGTGAATTCGCTTGAAATCTGCACTTGCAAATTCCACAAAAAGAGTGTTTCAAAAGTGCTCTGAATAAAGGAAGGTTCCACTCTGTGAGTTGAATACACACAACACAAAGGATTTACTGAGAATTCTTCTGTCTAGCAGTAAATGAAAAAATCCCGCTTCCAACGAAGTCCTCAAAGGGGTCCAAGTAATCACTTGCAGACTTTACAGACAGAGTCTTTCCAAACTGCTCTATGAAAAGAAAGGTGGAACTCTGTGAGCTGAACGCACACATAACAAAGCAGTTTCTGAGAATGATTCTGTGTAGTTTTTACACGAAGATATTTCCATTTCAAAGATTAGCCTCAAATCGCTTGAAATCTCCACTTGCAAATTCCACAGAAAAAATTTTTCAAAACTGCTCTGTCTAAAAGAAGGTTCAACTCTGTGACTTGAATACACACAACACAAAGAAGTGACTGAGAATGCTTCTGTCTAGCATTATATGAGGAAATCCCGTTTCCAAAGAAGGGTTCAAAGAGGGCCAATTATCCACCTGCAGACTTACAAAGAGTGTATTTCCAAACTACTCGATTAAAGAAAGGTTAAACTCTGTGAGTTGAACACACACATCACAAAGTGTTTTCTGAGAATGATTTTGGCTAGTTTTAATACGAAGATATATCCTTTTCTATCACTGTCTTCGAAGCGTTTGAAATCTGCACTAGCAAATTCCACAAAAAGAGTGTTTCAACTCTGCTCTCTCTAAAGAAAGGTTCAACTCTGTGAGTTGAATACACACAACACAAAGAAGTTACTGAGAATTCTTCTGTCTAGTGTTATATGAAGAAATCCCTTTTCCAACGAAGGCCTCAAAGAGGTCCAAATATCCACTTGCAGACTTTACAAATAGAATGTTTCCGAACTGCTCTATGAAAAGAAAGGTTAAACTCTGTGAGTTGAAGGCACACATCACAAACTAGTTTCTACGAATGATTCTGTGTACTTTTAATATGAAGATATTTCCATGTCTAAGATTGGCGTCAAATCGCTTGAAATCTCCACTTGCAAATTCCACTAAAAGTGTTTTTCAAAAGTGCTCTGAATAAAGGAAGGTTCCACTCTGTGAGTTGAATACACACAACACAAAGGATTTACTGAGAATTCTTCTGTCTAGCAGTAAATGAGAAATCCCGCTTCCAACGAAGGCCTCAAAGGGGTCTAACTAATCACTTGCAGACTTTAAAGACAGAGTCTTTCCAAACTGCTCTATGAAGAGAAAGGTGAAACTCTGTGAACTGAACGCACAGACGACAAAGCAGTTTCTGAGAATGCTTCTGTGTAGTTTTTACACGAAGATATTTCCATTTCAAAGATTAGCCTCAAATCGCTTGAAATCTCCACTTGCAAACTCCACAGAAAGAATTTTTCAAAACTGCTCTGTCTAAAGGAAGGTTCAACTCTGTGACTTGAATACACACAACACAAAGAAGTGACTGAGAATTCTTCTGTCTAGCATTATAAGAGGAAATCCAGTTTCCAACGAAGGGCTCATAGAGGGACAATTATCCAGCTGCAGACTTACAAAGAGTGTATTTCCAAACTGCTCGATTAAAGAAAGGTTAAACTCTGTGAGTTGAACACACACATCACAAAGTGTTTTCTGAGAATGATTTTGTCTAGTTTTAATACGAAGATATATCCTTTTCTATCACTGTCTTCGAAGCGTTTGAAATCTGCACTAGCAAATTCCACAAACAGAGTGTTTCAACTCTGCTCTCTCTCAAGAAAGGTTCAACTCTGTGAGTTGAATACACACAACACAAAGAAGTTACTGAGAATTCTTCTGTCTAGCGTTATATGAAGAAATCCCGTTTCCAACGAAGGCCTCAAAGAGGTCCAAATATCCACTTGCAGACTTTACAAATAGAGTGTTTCCAAACTGCTCTATGAAAAGAAAGGTTAAACTCCGTGAGTTGAAGGCACACATCACAAACTAGTTTCTGCAAATGACTCTGTGTACTTTTAATACGAAGATGTTTCCATGTCTAAGATTGGCGTGAATTCGCTTGAAATCTCCACTTGCAAATTCCACAAAAAGAGTGTTTCAAAACTGCTCTGAATAAAGGAAGGTTCCACTCTGTGAGTTGAATACACACAACACAAAGGATTTACTGAGAATTCTTCTGTCTAGCAGTAAATGAGAAATCCCGCTTCCAACGAAGGCCTCAAAGGGGTCTAACTAATCACTTGCAGACTTTACAGACAGAGTCTTTCCAAACTGCTCTATGAAGAGAAAGGTGAAACTCTGTGAACTGAACGCACAGATGACAAAGCAGTTTCTGAGAATGATTCTGTGTAGTTTTTACACGAAGATATTTCCATTTCAAAGATTAGCCTCCAATCGCTTGAAATCTCCACTTGCAAACTCCACAGAAAGAATTTTTCAAAACTGCTCTGTCTAAAGGAAGGTTCAACTCTGTGACTTGAATACACACAACACAAAGAAGTGACTGAGAATTCTTCTGTCTAGCATTACATGAAGAAATCCCGTTTCCAACGAAGGCCTCAATGAAGTCCAAAAAAGCACTTGCAGGCTTTACAAACAGAGTGTTTCCAAACTGCTCTATGAAAAGAAAGGTTAAACTCTGTGAGTTGAACGCACACATCACAAAGTCGTTGTTGAGAATGATTCTGTGTAGTTTTTATACGAAGATAATTCCTTTTCTGCCATAGGCCTAGAATCGCTTGAAATCTGCAGTTGCAAATTCCAAAAACAGAGTGTTTCAACTCTGCTCTCTCTAAAGAAAGGTTCAACTCTGTGAGTTGAATACACACAACACAAAGAAGTTACTGAGAATTCTTCTGTCTAGCGTTGTATGAAGAAATCCCGTTTCCAACGAAGGCCTCAAAGAGGTCCAAATATCCACTTGCAGACTTTACAAATAGAGTGTTTCCAAACTGCTCTATGAAAAGAAAGGTTAAACTCTGTGAGTTGAAGGCACACATCACAAACTAGTTTCTATGAATGACTCTGTGTACTTTTAATATGAAGATATTTCCATGTCTAAGATTGGCGTCAAATCGCTTGAAATCTCCACTTGCAAATTCCACAAAAAGTGTTTTTCAAAACTGCTCTGAATAAAGGAAGGTTCCACTCTGTGAGTTGAATACACACAACACAAAGGATTTACTGAGAATTCTTCTGTCTAGCAGTAAATGAGAAATCCCGCTTCCAACGAAGGCCTCAAAGGGGTCTAACTAATCACTTGCAGACTTTACAGACAGAGTCTTTCCAAACTGCTCTATGAAGAGAAAGGTGAAACTCTGTGAACTGAACGCACAGATAACAAAGCAGTTTCTGAGAATGATTCTGTGTAGTTTTTACACGAAGATATTTCCATTTCAAAGATTAGCCTCAAATCTCTTAAAATCTCCAATTGCAAACTCCACAGAAAGAATTTTTCAAAACTGCTCTGTCTAAAGGAAGGTTCAACTCTGTGACTTGAATACACACAACACAAAGAAGTGACTGAGAATTCTTCTGTCTAGCATTATATGAAGAAATCCCGTTTCCAACGAAGGCCTCAATGAAGTCCAAAAAAGCACTTGCAGGCTTTACAAACAGAGTGTTTCCAAACTGCTCTATGAAAAGAAAGGTTAAACTCTGTGAGTTGAACGCACACATCACAAAGTAGTTGTTGAGAATGATTCTGTGTAGTTTTTATACGAAGATATTTCCTTTTCTGCCATAGGCCTAGAAGCGCTTGTAATCTGCACTTGCAAATTCCAAAAACAGAGTGTTTCAAATCTGCTCTCTCTAAAGGAAGGTTCAAATCTGTGAGTTGAATACAAACAACACAAAGAAGTTACTGAGAATTCTTCTGTCTAGCGTTACATGAAGAAATCCCGTTTCCAACGAAGGCCTCAAAGACGTCCAAATATCCACTTGCAGACTTTACAAATAGAGTGTTTCCAAAATGCTCTATGAAAAGAAAGGTTAAACTCTGTGAGTTGAAGGCACACAACACAAACTAGTTTCTGCGAATGACTCTGTGTACTTTTAATACGAAGATGTTTCCATGTCTAAGATTGGCGTGAATTCGCTTGAAATCTCCACTTGCAAATTCCACAAAAAGAGTGTTTCAAAACTGCTCTGAATAAAGGAAGGTTCCACTCTGTGAGTTGAATACACACAACACAAAGGATTTACTGAGAATTCTTCTGTCTAGCAGTAAATGAAAAAATCCCGCTTCCAACGAAGTCCTCAAAGGGGTCCAAGTAATCACTTGCAGACTTTACAGACAGAGTCTTTCCAAACTGCTCTATGAAAAGAAAGGTGGAACTCTGTGAGCTGAACGCACACATAACAAAGCAGTTTCTGACAATGATTCTGTGTAGTTTTTACACGAAGATATTTCCATTTCAAAGATTAGCCTCAAATCGCTTGAAATCTCCACTTGCAAATTCCACAGAAAGAGTTTTTCAAAACTGCTCTGTGTAAAGGAAGGTTCAACTCTGTGACTTGAATACACACAACACAAAGAAGTGACTGAGAATTCTTCTGTCTAGCATTATATGAAGAAATCCCGTTTCCAACGAAGGCCTCAAAGAAGTCCAAATAAGCACCTGCAGACTTTACAAACAGAGTGTTTCCAAACTGCTCTATGAAAAGAAAGGTTAAACTCTGTGAGCTGAATGCACACATCACAAAGTAGTTGTTGAGAATGATTCTGTGTAGTTTTTATACGAAGATATTTCCTTTTCTGCCATAGGCCTAGAAGCGCTTGCAATCTGCACTTGCAAATTCCAAAAACAGAGTGTTTCAAATCTGCTCTCTCCAAAGGAAGGTTCAAATCTGTGAGTTGAATACAAACAACACAAAGAAGTTACTGAGAATTCTTCTGTCTAGCGTTGTATGAAGAAATCCCGTTTCCAACGAAGGCCTCAAAGGAGGTCCAAATATCCACTTGCAGACTTTACAAATAGAGTGTTTCCAAACTGCTCTATGAAAAGAAAGGTTAAACTCTGTGAGTTGAAGGCACACATCACAAACTAGTTTTTACGAATGACTCTGTGTACTTTTAATATGAAGATATTTCCATGTCTAAGATTGGCGTCAAATCGCTTGAAATCTCCACTTGCAAATTCCACAAAAAGAGTGTTTCAAAACTGCTCTGTCTAAAGGAAGGTTCAACTCTGTGACTTGAATACACACAACACAAAGAAGTGACTGAGAATTCTTCTGTCTAGCATTATATGAAGAAATCCCGTTTCCAACGAAGGCCTCAATGAAGTCCAAAAAAGCACTTGCAGGCTTTACAAACAGAGTGTTTCCAAACTACTCTATGAAAAGAAAGTTTAAACTCTGTGAGTTGAACGCACACATCACAAAGTAGTTGTTGAGAATGATTCTGTGTAGTTTTTATACGAAGATATTTCCTTTTCTGCCATAGGCCTAGAATCGCTTGAAATCTGCACTTGCAAATTCCAAAAACAGAGTGTTTCAACTCTGCTCTCTCTAAAGAAAGTTTCAACTCTGTGAGTTGAATACACACAACACAAAGAAGTAACTGAGAATTCTTCTGTCTAGCATTATATGAAGAAATCCCGTTTCCAACGAAGGCCTCAAAGAAGTCCAAATAAGCACCTGCAGACTTTACAAACAGAGTGTTTCCAAACTGCTCTATGAAAAGAAAGGTTAAACTCTGTGAGCTGAACGCACACATCACAAAGTAGTTGTTGAGAATGATTCTGTGTAGTTTTTATACGAAGATATTTCCTTTTCTGCCATAGGCCTAGAAGCGCTTGCAATCTGCACTTGCAAATTCCAAAAACAGAGGGTTTCAAATCTGCTCTCTCCAAAGGAAGGTTCAAATCTGTGAGTTGAATACAAACAACACAAAGAAGTTACTGAGAATTCTTCTGTCTAGCGTTATATGAAGAAATCCCGTTTCCAACGAAGGCCTCAAAGAGGTCCAAATATCCACTTGCAGACTTTACAAATAGAGTGTTTCCAAACTGCTCTATGAAAAGAAAGGTTAAACTCCGTGAGTTGAAGGCACACATCACAAACTAGTTTCTGCGAATGACTCTGTGTACTTTTAATACGAAGATGTTTCCATGTCTAAGATTGGCGTGAATTCGCTTGAAATCTCCACTTGCAATTTCCACAAAAAGAGTGTTTCAAAACTGCTCTGAATAAAGGAAGGTTCCACTCTGTGAGTTGAATACACACAACACAAAGGATTTACTGAGAATTCTTCTGTCTAGCAGTAAATGAAAAAATCCCGCTTCCAACGAAGTCCTCAAAGGGGTCCAAGTAATCACTTGCAGACTTTACAGACAGAGTCTTTCCAAACTGCTCTATGAAAAGAAAGGTGGAACTCTGTGAGCTGAACGCACACATAACAAAGCAGTTTCTGAGAATGATTCTGTGTAGTTTTTACACGAAGATATTTCCATTTCAAAGATTAGCCTCAAATCGCTTGAAATCTCCACTTGCAAATTCCACAGAAAGAGTTTTTCAAAACTGCTCTGTGTAAAGGAAGGTTCAACTCTGTGACTTGAATACACACAACACAAAGAAGTGACTGAGAATTCTTCTGTCTAGCATTATATGAAGAAATCCCGTTTCCAACGAAGGCCTCAAAGAAGTCCAAATAAGCACCTGCAGACTTTACAAACAGAGTGTTTCCAAACTGCTCTATGAAAAGAAAGGTTAAACTCTGTGAGTTGAACGCACACATCACAAAGTAGTTGTTGAGAATGATTCTGTGTAGTTTTTATACGAAGATATTTCCTTTTCTGCCATAGGCCTAGAAGCGCTTGAAATCTGCACTTGCAAATTCCAAAAACAGAGTGTTTCAAAACTGCTCTCTCTAAAGGAAGGTTCAAATCTGTGAGTTGAATACAAACAATACAAAGAAGTTACTGAGAATTCTTCTGTCTAGCGTTATATGAAGAAATCCCGTTTCCAACGAAGGCCTCAAAGAGGTCCAAATATCCACTTGCAGACTTACAAATAGAGTGTTTCCAAACTGCTCTATGAAAAGAAAGGTTAAACTCCGTGAGTTGAAGGCTCACATCACAAACTAGTTTCTGCGAATGACTCTGTGTACTTTTAATACGAAGATGTTTCCATGTCTAAGATTGGCGTGAATTCGCTTGAAATCTCCACTTGCAAATTCCACAAAAAGAGTGTTTCAAAACTGCTCTGAATAAAGGAAGGTTCCACTCTGTGAGTTGAATACACACAACACAAAGGATTTACTGAGAATTCTTCTGTCTAGCAGTAAATGGGAAATCCCGCTTCCAACGAAGGCCTCAAAGGGGTCTAACTAATCACTTGCGGACTTTACAGACAGAGTCTTTCCAAACTGCTCTATGAAGAGAAAGGTTAAACTCTGTGAACTGAACGCACAGATAACAAAGCAGTTTCTGAGAATGATTTCTGTGTAGTTTTGACACGAAGATATTTCCATTTCAAAGATTAGCCTCAAATCGCTTGAAATCTCCACTTGCAAATTCCACAGAAAGAATTTTTCAAAACTGCTCTGTCTAAAAGAAGGTTCAACTCTGTGACTTGAATACACACAACACAAAGAAGTTACTGAGAATCCTTCTGTCTAGCATTATATGAAGAAATCCCGTTTCCAACGAAGGCCTCAATGAAGTCCAAAAAAGCACTTGCAGGCTTTACAAACAGAGTGTTTCCAAACTGCTCTATGAAAAGAAAGGTTAAACTTTGTGAGTTGAACGCACACATCACAAAGTAGTTGTTGAGAATGATTTTTGTCTACTTTTAATACGAAGATATATCCTTTTCTATCACTGTCTTCGAAGCGTTTGAAATCTGCACTAGCAAATTCCACAAAAAGAGTGTTTCACCTCTGCTCCCTCTAAAGAAAGGTTCAACTCTGTGAGTTGAATACACACAACACAAAGAAGTTACTGAGAATTCTTCTGTCTAGCGTTATATGAAGAAATCCCGTTTCCAACGAAGGCCTCAAAGAGGTCCAAATATCCACTTGCAGACTTTACAAATAGAGTGTTTCCCAACTGCTCTATGAAAAGAAAGGTTAAACTCTGTGAGTTGAAGGCACACATCACAAACTAGTTTCTACGAATGACTCTGTGTACTTTTAATATGAAGATATTTCCATGTCTAAGATTGGCGTCAAATCGCTTGAAATCTCCACTTGCAAATTCCACAAAAAGAGTGTTTGAAAACTGCTCTGAATAAAGGAAGGTTCCACTCTGTGAGTTGAATACACACAACACAAAGGATTTACTGAGAATTCTTCTGTCTAGCAGTAAATGAAAAAATCCCGCTTCCAACGAAGTCCTCAAAGGGGTCCAAGTAATCACTTGCAGACTTTACAGACAGAGTCTTTCCAAACTGCTCTATGAAAAGAAAGGTGGAACTCTGTGAGCTGAACGCACACATAACAAAGCAGTTTCTGAGAATGATTCTGTGTAGTTTTTACACGAAGCTATTTCCATTTCAAAGATTAGCCTCAAATCGCTTGAAATCTCCACTTGCAAATTCCACAGAAAGAGTTTTTCAAAACTGCTCTGTGTAAAGGAAGGTTCAACTCTGTGACTTGAATACACACAACACAAAGAAGTGACTGAGAATTCTTCTGTCTAGCATTATAAGAGGAAATCCTGTTTCCAACGAAGGGCTCATAGAGGGACAATTATCCAGCTGCAGACTTACAAAGAGTGTATTTCCAAACTGCTCGATTAAAGAAAGGTTAAACTCTGTGAGTTGAACACACACATCACAAAGTGTTTTCTGAGAATGATTTTGTCTAGTTTTAATACGAAGATATATCCTTTTCTATCATTGTCTTCGAAGCGTTTGAAATCTGCACTAGCAAATTCCACAGAAAGAGTGTTTCAACTCTGCTCTCTCTCAAGAAAGGTTCAACTCTGTGAGTTGAAAACACACAACACAAAGAAGTTACTGAGAATTCTTCTGTCTAGCGTTATATGAAGAAATCCCGTTTCCAACGAAGGCCTCAAAGAGGTCCAAATATCCACTTGCAGACTTAACAAATAGAGTGTTTCCAAACTGCTCTATGAAAAGAAAGGTTAAACTCCGTGAGTTGAAGGCACACATCACAAACTAGTTTCTGCGAATGACTCTGTGTACTTTTAATACGAAGATGTTTCCATGTCTAAGATTGGCGTGAATTCGCTTGAAATCTCCACTTGCAAATTCCACAAAAAGAGTGTTTCAAAACTGCTCTGAATACAGGAAGGTTCCACTCTGTGAGTTGAATACACACAACACAAAGGATTTACTGAGAATTCTTCTGTCTAGCAGTAAATGAAAAAATCCCGCTTCCAACGAAGTCCTCAAAGGGGTCCAAGTAATCACTTGCAGACTTTACAGACAGAGTCTTTCCAAACTGCTCTATGAAAAGAAAGGTGGAACTCTGTGAGCTGAACGCACACATAACAAAGCAGTTTCTGACAATGATTCTGTGTAGTTTTTACACGAAGATATTTCCATTTCAAAGATTAGCCTCAAATCGCTTGAAATCTCCACTTGCAAATTCCACAGAAAGAATTTTTCAAAACTGCTCTGTCTAAAGGAAGGTTCAACTCTGTGACTTGAATACACACAACACAAAGAAGTGACTGAGAATTCTTCTGTCTAGCATTATATGAAGAAATCCCGTTTCCAACGAAGGCCTCAATGAAGTCCAAAAAAGCACTTGCAGGCTTTACAAACAGAGTGTATCCAAACTGCTCTATGAAAAGAAAGGTTAAACTCTGTGAGTTGAACGCACACATCACAAAGTAGTTGTTGAGAATGATTCTGTGTAGTTTTTATATGAAGATATTTCCTTTTCTGCCATACGCCTAGAATCGCTTGAAATCTGCACTTGCAAATTCCAAAAACAGAGTGTTTCAACTCTGCTCTCTCTAAAGAAAGGTTCAACTCTGTGAGTTGAATACACACAACACAAAGAAGTTACTGAGAATTCTTCTGTCTAGCGTTATATGAAGAAATCCCGTTTCCAACGAAGGCCTCAAAGAGGTCCAAATATCCACTTGCAGACTTTACAAATAGAGTGTTTCCCAACTGCTCTATGAAAAGAAAGGTTAAACTCCTGTGAGTTGAAGGCACACATCACAAACTAGTTTCTACGAATGACTTCTGTGTACTTTTAATATGAAGATATTTCCATGTCTAAGATAGGCGTCAAATCGCTTGAAATCTCCACTTGCAAATTCCACAAAAAGTGTTTTTCAAAACTGCTCTGAATAAAGGAAGGTTCCACTCTGTAAGTTGAATACACACAACACAAAGGATTTACTGAGAATTCTTCTGTCTAGCAGTAAATGAGAAATCCCGCTTCCAACGAAGGCCTCAAAGGGGTCTAACTAATCACTTGCAGACTTTACAGACAGAGTCTTTCCAAACTGCTCTATGAAGAGAAAGGTGAAACTCTGTGAACTGAACGCACAGATAACAAAGCAGTTTCTGAGAATGATTCTGTGTAGTTTTTACACGAAGATATTTCCATTTCAAAGATTAGCCTCAAATCTCTTAAAATCTCCAATTGCAAATTCCACAGAAAGTATTTTTCAAAACTGCTCTGTCTAAAGGAAGGTTCAACTCTGTGACTTGAATACACAAAACACAAAGAAGTGACTGAGAATTCTTCTGTCTAGCATTATATGAAGAAATCCCGTTTCAAACGAAGGCCTCAATGAAGTCCAAAAAAGCACTTGCAGGCTTTACAAACAGAGTGTTTCCAAACTGCTCTATGAAAAGAAAGTTTAAACTCTGTGAGTTGAACGCACACATCACAAAGTAGTTGTTGAGAATGATTCTGTGTAGTTTTTATACGAAGATATTTCCTTTTCTGCCATTGGCCTAGAATCGCTTGAAATCTGCAGTTGCAAATTCCAAAAACAGAGTGTTTCAACTCTGCTCTCTCTAAAGAAAGGTTCAACTCTGTGAGTTGAATACACACAACACAAAGAAGTTACTGAGAATTCTTCTGTCTAGCGTTGTATGAAGAAATCCCGTTTCCAACGAAGGCCTCAAAGAGGTCCAAATATCCACTTGCAGACTTTACAAATAGAGTGTTTCCAAACTGCTCTATGAAAAGAAAGGTTAAACTCTGTGAGTTGAAGGCACACATCACAAACTAGTTTCTACGAATGACTCTGTGTACTTTTAATATGAAGATATTTCCATGTCTAAGATTGGCGTCAAATCGCTTGAAATCTCCACTTGCAAATTCCACAAAAAGTGTTTTTCAAAACTGCTCTGAATAAAGGAAGGTTCCACTCTGTGAGTTGAATACACACAACACAAAGGATTTACTGAGAATTCTTCTGTCTAGCAGTAAATGAAAAAATCCCGCTTCCAACGAAGTCCTCAAAGGGGTCCAAGTAATCACTTGCAGACTTTACAGACAGAGTCTTTCCAAACTGCTCTATGAAAAGAAAGGTGGAACTCTGTGAGCTGAACGCACACATAACAAAGCAGTTTCTGAGAATGATTCTGTGTAGTTTTTACACGAAGATATTTCCATTTCAAAGATTAGCCTCAAATCGCTTGAAATCTCCACTTGCAAATTCCACAGAAAGAGTTTTTCAAAACTGCTCTGTGTAAAGGAAGGTTCAACTCTGTGACTTGAATACACACAACACAAAGAAGTGACTGAGAATTCTTCTGTCTAGCATTATATGAAGAAATCCCGTTTCCAACGAAGGCCTCAAAGAAGTCCAAATAAGCACCTGCAGACTTTACAAACAGAGTGTTTCCAAACTGCTCTATGAAAAGAAAGGTTAAACTCTGTGAGTTGAACGCACACATCACAAAGTAGTTGTTGAGAATGATTTTGTCTAGTTTTAATACGAAGATATATCCTTTTCTATCACTGTCTTCGAAGCGTTTGAAATCGGCACTAGCAAATTCCACAAACAGAGTGTTTCAACTCTGCTCTCTCTCAAGAAAGGTTCAACTCTGTGAGTGGAATACACACAACACAAAGAAGTTACTGAGAATTCTTCTGTCTAGCGTTATATGAAGAAATCCCGTTTCCAACGAAGGCCTCAAAGAGGTCCAAATATCCACTTGCAGACTTTACAAATAGAGTGTTTCCAAACTGCTCTATGAAAAGAAAGGTTAAACTCTGTGAGTTGAAGGCACACATCACAAACTAGTTTCTGCGAATGACTCTGTGTACTTTTAATACGAAGATGTTTCCATGTCTAAGATTGGCGTGAATTCGCTTGAAATCTCCACTTGCAAATTCCACAAAAAGAGTGTTTCAAAACTGCTCTGAATAAAGGAAGGTTCCACTCTGTGAGTTGAATACACACAACACAAAGGATTTACTGAGAATTCTTCTGTCTAGCAGTAAATGAAAAAATCCCGCTTCCAACGAAGTCCTCAAAGGGGTCCAAGTAATCACTTGCAGACTTTACAGACAGAGTCTTTCCAAACTGCTCTATGAAAAGAAAGGTGGAACTCTGTGAGCTGAACGCACACATAACAAAGCAGTTTCTGACAATGATTCTGTGTAGTTTTTACACGAAGATATTTCCATTTCAAAGATTAGCCTCAAATCGCTTGAAATCTCCACTTGCAAATTCCACAGAAAGAGTTTTTCAAAACTGCTCTGTGTAAAGGAAGGTTCAACTCTGTGACTTGAATACACACAACACAAAGAAGTGACTGAGAATTCTTCTGTCTAGCATTATATGAAGAAATCCCGTATCCAACGAAGGCCTCAAAGAAGTCCAAATAAGCACCTGCAGACTTTACAAACAGAGTGTTTCCAAACTGCTCTATGAAAAGAAAGGTTAAACTCTGTGAGTTGAACGCACACATCACAAACTAGTTTCTGCGAATGACTTTGTCTAGTTTTAATACGAAGATATATCCTTTGCTATCACTGTCTTCGAAGCGTTTGAAATCTGCACTAGCAAATTCCACAAAAAGAGTGTTTCAACTCTGCTCCCTCTAAAGAAAGGTTCAACTCTGTGAGTTGAATACACACAACACAAAGAAGTTACTGAGAATTCTTCTGTCTAGCGTTATATGAAGAAATCCCGTTTCCAACGAAGGCCTCAAAGAGGTCCAAATATCCACTTGCAGACTTTACAAATAGAGTGTTTCCAAACTGCTCTATGAAAAGAAAGGTTAAACTCTGTGAGTTGAAGGCACACATCACAAACTAGTTTCTACAAATGTCTGTGTACTTTTAATATGAAGATATTTCCATGTCTAAGATTGGCGTCAAATCGCTTGAAATCTCCACTTGCAAATTCCACAAACAGAGTGTTTCAAAACTGCTCTGAATAAAGGAAGGTTCCACTCTGTGAGTTGAATAAACACAACACAAAGGATTTACTGAGAATTCTTCTGTCTAGCAGTAAATGAGAAATCCCGCTTCCAACGAAGGCCTCAAAGGGGTCTAACTAATCACTTGCAGACTTTACAGACAGAGTCTTTCCAAACTGCTCTATGAAGAGAAAGGTGAAACTCTGTGAACTGAACGCACAGATGACAAAGCAGTTTCTGAGAATGATTCTGTGTAGTTTTTACACGAAGATATTTCCATTTCAAAGATTAGCCTCAAATCGCTTGAAATCTCCACTTGCAAATTACACAGAAAGAATTTTTCAAAACTGCTCTGTCTAAAGGAAGGTTCAACTCTGTGACTTGAATACACACAACACAAAGAAGTGACTGAGAATTCTTCTGTCTAGCATTATATGAGAAATCCCGTTTCCAACGAAGGCCTCAAAGAAGTCCAAATAAGCACCTGCAGACTTTACAAACAGAGTGTTTCCAAACTGCTCTATGAAAAGAAAGGTTAAACTCTGTGAGGTGAACGCACACATCACAAAGTAGTTGTTGAGAATGATTTTGGCTAGTTTTAATACGAAGATATATCCTTTTCTATCACTGTCTTCGAAGCGTTTGAAATCTGCACTAGCAAATTCCACAAAAAGAGTGTTTCAACTCTGCTCTCTCTAAAGAAAGGTTCAACTCTGTGAGTTGAATACACACAACACAAAGAAGTTACTGAGAATTCTTCTGTCTAGTGTTATATGAAGAAATCCCTTTTCCAACGAAGGCCTCAAAGAGGTCCAAATATCCACTTGCAGACTTTACAAATAGAATGTTTCCGAACTGCTCTATGAAAAGAAAGGTTAAACTCTGTGAGTTGAAGGCACACATCACAAACTAGTTTCTACGAATGATTCTGTGTACTTTTAATATGAAGATATTTCCATGTCTAAGATTGGCGTCAAATCGCTTGAAATCTCCACTTGCAAATTCCACAAAAAGTGTTTTTCAAAACTGCTCTGAATAAAGGAAGGTTCCACTCTGTGAGTTGAATACACACAACACAAAGGATTTACTGAGAATTCTTCTGTCTAGCAGTAAATGAGAAATCCCGCTTCCAACGAAGGCCTCAAAGGGGTCTAACTAATCACTTGCAGACTTTACAGACAGAGTCTTTCCAAACTGCTCTATGAAGAGAAAGGTGAAACTCTGTGAACTGAACGCACAGATGACAAAGCAGTTTCTGAGAATGATTCTGTGTAGTTTTTACACGAAGATATTTCCATTTCAAAGATTAGCCTCAAATCGCTGGAAATCTCCACTTGCAAACTCCACAGAAAGAATTTTTCAAAACTGCTCTGTCTAAAGGAAGGTTCAACTCTGTGACTTGAATACACACAACACAAAGAAGTGACTGAGAATTCTTCTGTCTAGCATTATATGAAGAAATCCCGTTTCCAACGAAGGCCTCAATGAAGTCCAAAAAAGCACTTGCAGGCTTTACAAACAGAGTGTTTCCAAACTGCTCTATGAAAAGAAAGGTTAAACTCTGTGAGTTGAACGCACACATCACAAAGTAGTTGTTGAGAATGATTTTGTCTAGTTTTAATACGAAGATATATCCTTTTCTATCACTGTCTTCGAAGCGTTTGAAATCTGCACTAGCAAATTCCACAAAAAGAGTGTTTCAACTCTGCTCTCTCTCAAGAAAGGTTCAACTCTGTGAGTTGAATACACACAACACAAAGAAGTTACTGAGAATTCTTCTGTCAAGCGTTATATGAAGAAATCCCGTTTCCAACGAAGGCCTCAAAGAGGTCCAAATATCCACTTGCAGACTTTACAAATAGAGTGTTTCCGAACTGCTCTATGAAAAGAAAGGTTAAACTCTGTGAGTTGAAGGCACACATCACAAACTAGTTTCTACGAATGACTCTGTGTACTTTTAATATGAAGATATTTCCATGTCTAAGATTGGCGTCAAATCGCTTGAAATCTCCACTTGCAAATTCCACAAAAAGAGTGTTTCAAAACTGCTCTGAATAAAGGAAGGTTCCACTCTGTGAGTTGAATACACACAACACAAAGGATTTACTGAGAATTCTTCTGTCTAGCAGTAAATGAAAAAATCCCGCTTCCAGCGAAGTCCTCAAAGGGGTCCAAGTAATCACTTGCAGACTTTACAGACAGAGTCTTTCCAAACTGCTCTATGAAAAGAAAGGTGGAACTCTGTGAGCTGAACGCACACATAAGAAAGCAGTTTCTGAGAATGATTCTGTGTAGTTTTTACACGAAGATATTTCCATTTCAAAGATTAGCCTCAAATCGCTTGAAATCTCCACTTGCAAATTCCACAGAAAGAGTTTTTCAAAACTGCTCTGTGTAAAGGAAGGTTCAACTCTGTGACTTGAATACACACAACACAAAGAAGTGACTGAGAATTCTTCTGTCTAGCATTATATGAAGAAATCCCGTTTCCAACGAAGGCCTCAAAGAAGTCCAAATAAGCACCTGCAGACTTTACAAACAGAGTGTTTCCAAACTGCTCTATGAAAAGAAAGGTTAAACTCTGTGAGTTGAACGCACACATCACAAAGTAGTTGTTGAGAATGATTTTGTCTAGTTTTAATACGGAGATATATCCTTTTCTATCACTGTCTTCGAAGCGTTTGAAATCTGCACTAGCAAATTCCACAAAAAGAGTGTTTCAACTCTGCTCTCTCTAAAGAAGGGTTCAACTCTGTGAGTTGAATACACACAACACAAAGAAGTTACTGAGAATTCTTCTGTCTAGCGTTATATGAAGAAATCCCGTTTCCAACGAAGGCCTCAAAGAGGTCCAAATATCCACTTGCAGACTTTACAAATAGAGTGTTTCCGAACTGCTCTATGAAAAGAAAGGTTAAACTCTGTGAGTTGAAGGCACACATCACAAACTAGTTTCTACGAATGACTCTGTGTACTTTTAATACGAAGATGTTTCCATGTCTAAGATTGGCGTGAATTCGCTTGAAATCTCCACTTGCAAATTCCACAAAAAGAGTGTTTCAAAACTGCTCTGAATAAAGGAAGGTTCCACTCTGTGAGTTGAATACACACAACACTAAGGATTTACTGAGAATTCTTCTGTCTAGCAGTAAATGAAAAAATCCCGCTTCCAACGAAGTCCTCAAAGGGGTCCAAGTAATCACTTGAAGACTTTACAGAAAGAGTCTTTCCAAACTGCTCTATGAAAAGAAAGGTGGAACTCTGTGAGCTGAACGCACACATAACAAAGCAGTTTCTGAGAATGATTCTGTGTAGTTTTTACACGAAGATATTTCCATTTCAAAGATTAGCCTCAAATCGCTTGAAATCTCCACTTGCAAATTCCACAGAAAGAGTTTTTCAAAACTGCTCTGTGTAAAGGAAGGTTCAGCTCTGTGACTTGAATACACACAACACAAAGAAGTGACTGAGAATTCTTCTGTCTAGCATTATATGAAGAAATCCCGTTTCGAACGAAGGCCTCAAAGAAGTCCAAATAAGCACCTGCAGACTTTACAAACAGAGTGTTTCCAAACTGCTCTATGAAAAGAAAGGTTAAACTCTGTGAGCTGAACGCACACATCACAAAGTAGTTGTTGAGAATGATTTCGTCTAGTTTTAGTACGAAGGTATAACCTTTTCTATCACTGTCTTTGAAGCGATTGAAATCTGCACTAGGAAATTCCACAAAAAGAGTGTTTCAACTCTGCTCTCTCTCAAGAAAGGTTCAACTCTGTGAGTTAAATACACACAACACAAAGAAGTTACTGAGAATTCTTCTGTCTAGCGTTATATGAAAAAATCCCGTTTCCAACGAAGGCCTCAAAGAGGTCCAAATATCCACTTGCAGACTTTACAAATAGAGTGTTTCCAAACTGCTCTATGAAAAGAAAGGTTAAACTCCGTGAGTTGAAGGCACACATCATAAACTAGTTTCTGCGAATGACTTTGTCTAGTTTTAATACGAAGATATGTCCTTTTCTATCATTGTCTTCGAAGCGTTTGAAATCTGCACTAGCAAATTCCACAAAAAGAGTGTTTCAAATCTGCTCTCTCTAAAGAAAGGTTCAACTCTGTGAGTTGAATACACACAACACAAAGGATTTACTGAGAATTCTTCTGTCTAGCAGTAAATGAAAAAATCCCGCTTCCAACGAAGTCCTCAAAGTGGTCCAAGTAATCACTTGCAGACTTTACAGACAGAGTCTTTCCAAACTTCTCTATGAAAGAAAGGTGGAACTCTGTGAGCTGAACGCACACATAACAAAGCAGATTCTGAGAATGATTCTGTGCAGTTTTTACACGAAGATATTTCCATTTCAAAGATTAGCCTCAAATCGCTTGAAATCTCCACTTGCAAATTCCACAGAAAGAGTTTCTCTAAACTGCTCTGTCTAAAGGAAGGTTCATCTCCGTGACTTGAATACCACAACACAAAGAAGTGACTGAGAATTCTTCTGTCTAACATTATATGAAGAAATCCCGTTTCCAACGAAGGCCTCAATGAAGTCCAAAAAAGCACTTGCAGGGTTTACAAACAGAGTGTTTCCAAACTGCTCTATGAAAAGAAAGGTTAAACTCTGTGAGTTGAACGCACACATCACAAAGTAGTTGTTGAGAATGATTCTGTGTAGTTTTTATACGAAGATATTTCCTTTTCTGCCATAGGCCTAGAAGCGCTTGAAATCTGCACTTGCAAATTCCAAAAACAGAGTGTTTCAAATCTGCTCTCCCTAAAGGAAGGTTCAAATCTGTGAGTTGAATACAAACAACACAAAGAAGTTACTGAGAATTCTTCTGTCTAGCGTTATATGAAGAAATCCCTTTTCCAACGAAGGCCTCAAAGAGGTCCAAATATCCACTTGCAGACTTTACAAATAGAGTGTTTCCAAACTGCTCTATGAAAAGAAAGGTTAAACTCTGTGAGTTGAAGGCACACATCACAAACTAGTTTCTACGAATGATTCTGTGTACTTTTAATATGAAGATATTTCCATGTCTAAGATTGGCGTCAAATCGCTTGAAATCTCCACTTGCAAATTCCACAAAAAGAGTGTTTGAAAACTGCTCTGAATAAAGGAAGGTTCCACTCTGTGAGTTGAATAAACACAACACAAAGGATTTACTGAGAATTCTTCTGTCTAGCAGTAAATGAAAAAATCCCGCTTCCAATGAAGTCCTCAAAGGGGTCCAAGTAATCACTTGCAGACTTTACAGACAGAGTCTTTCCAAACTGCTCTATGAAAAGAAAGGTGGAACTCTGTGAGCTGAACGCACACATAACAAAGCAGTTTCTGAGAATGATTCTGTGTAGTTTTTACACGAAGATATTTCCATTTCAAAGATTAGCCTCAAATCGCTTGAAATCTCCACTTGCAAATTACACAGAAAGAATTTTTCAAAACTGCTCTGTCTAAAGGAAGGTTCAACTCTGTGACTTGAATACACACAACACAAAGAAGTGACTGAGAATTCTTCTGTCTAGCATTATAAGAGGAAATCCCGTTTCCAACGAAGGGCTCATAGAGGGACAATTATCCAGCTGCAGACTTACAAAGAGTGTATTTCCAAACTGCTCGATTAAAGAAAGGTTAAACTCTGTGAGTTGAACACACACATCACAAAGTGTTTTCTGAGAATGATTCTGTGTAGTTTTTATACGAAGATATTTCCTTTTCTGCCATAGGCCTAGAATCGCTTGAAATCTGCACTTGCAAATTCCAAAAACAGAGTGTTTCAACTCTGCTCTCTCTAAAGAAAGGTTCAACTCTGTGAGTTGAATACACACAACACAAAGAAGTTACTGAGAATTCTTCTGTCTAGCGTTATATGAAGAAATCCCGTTTCCAACGAAGGCCTCAAAGAGGTCCAAATATCCACTTGCAGACTTTACAAATAGAGTGTTTCCAAACTGCTCTATGAAAAGAAAGGTTAAACTCCGTGAGTTGAAGGCACACATCTCAAACTAGTTTCTGCGAATGACTCTGTGTACTTTTAATACGAAGATGTTTCCATGTCTAAGATTGGCGTGAATTCGCTTGAAATCTCCACTTGCAAATTCCACAAAAAGAGTGTTTCAAAAGTGCTCTGAATAAAGGAAGGTTCCACTACTGTGAGTTGAATACACACAACACAAAGGATTTACTGAGAATTCTTCTGTCTAGCAGTAAATGAGAAATCCCGCTTCCAACGAAGGCCTCAAAGGGGTCTAACTAATCACTTGCAGACTTTACAGACAGAGTCTTTCCAAACTGCTCTATGAAGAGAAAGGTGAAACTCTGTGAACTGAACGCACAGATGACAAAGCAGTTTCTGAGAATGATTCTGTGTAGTTTTTACACGAAGCTATTTCCATTTCAAAGATTAGCCTCAAATCGCTTGAAATCTCCACTTGCAAATTCCACAGAAAGAGTTTTTCAAAACTGCTCTGTGTAAAGGAAGGTTCAACTCTGTGACTTGAATCCACACAACACAAAGAAGTGACTGAGAATTCTTCTGTCTAGCATTATATGAAGAAATCCCGTTTCCAACGAAGGCCTCAAAGAAGTCCAAATAAGCACCTGCAGACTTTACAAACAGAGTGTTTCCAAACTGCTCTATGAAAAGAAAGGTTAAACTCTGTGAGCTGAACGCACACATCACAAAGTAGTTGTTGAGAATGATTCTGTGTAGTTTTTATACGAAGATATTTCCTTTTCTGCCATAGGCCTAGAAGCGCTTGCAATCTGCACTTGCAAATTCCAAAAACAGAGTGTTTCAAATCTGCTCTCTCCAAAGGAAGGTTCAAATCTGTGAGTTGAATACAAACAACACAAAGAAGTTACTGAGAATTCTTCTGTCTAGCGTTATATGAAGAAGATCCCGTTTCCAACGAAGGCCTCAAAGAGGTCCAAATATCCACTTGCAGACTTTACAAATAGAGTGTTTCCAAACTGCTCTATGAAAAGAAAGGTTAAACTCCGTGAGTTGAAGGCACACATCACAAACTAGTTTCTGCGAATGACTCTGTGTACTTTTAATATGAAGATATTTCCATGTCTAAGATTGGCGTCAAATCGCTTGAAATCTCCACTTGCAAATTCCACAAAAAGAGTGTTTCAAAACTGCTCTGAATAAAGGAAGGTTCCACTCTGTGAGATGAATACACACAACACAAAGGATTTACTGAGAATTCTTCTGTCTAGCAGTAAATGAGAAATCCCGCTTCCAACGAAGGCCTCAAAGGGGTCTAACTAATCACTTGCAGACTTTACAGACAGAGTCTTTCCAAACTGCTCTATGAAGAGAAAGGTGAAACTCTGTGAACTGAACGCACAGATGACAAAGCAGTTTCTGAGAATGATTCTGTGTAGTTTTTACACGAAGATATTTCCATTTCAAAGATTAGCCTCAAATCGCTTGAAATCTCCACTTGCAAATTACACAGAAAGAACTTTTCAAAACTGCTCTGTCTAAAGGAAGGTTCAACTCTGTGACTTGAATACACACAACACAAAGAAGTGACTGAGAATTCTTCTGTCTAGCATTATATGAAGAAATCCCGTTTCCAACGAAGGCCTCAATGAAGTCCAAAAAAGCACTTGCAGGCTTTACAAACAGAGTGTTTCCAAACTGCTCTATGAAAAGAAAGGTTAAACTCTGTGAGTTGAACGCACACATCACAAAGTAGTTGTTGAGAATGATTCTGTGTAGTTTTTATACGAAGATATTTCCTTTTCTGCCATAGGCCTAGAAGCGCTTGAAATCTGCACTTGCAAATTCCAAAAACAGAGTGTTTCAACTCTGCTCTCTCTAAAGAAAGGTTCAACTCTGTGAGTTGAATACACACAACACAAAGAAGTTACTGAGAATTCTTCTGTCTAGCGTTGTATGAAGAAATCCCGTTTCCAACGAAGGCCTCAAAGAGGTCCAAATATCCACTTGCAGACTTTACAAATAGAGTGTTTCCAAACTGCTCTATGAAAAGAAAGGTTAAACTCTGTGAGTTGAAGGCACACATCACAAACTAGTTTCTACGAATGACTCTGTGTACTTTTAATATGAAGATATTTCCATGTCTAAGATTGGCGTCAAATCGCTTGAAATCTCCACTTGCAAATTCCACAAAAAGTGTTTTTCAAAACTGCTCTGAATAAAGGAAGGTTCCACTCTGTGAGTTGAATACACACAACACAAAGGATTTACTGAGAATTCTTCTGTCTAGCAGTAAATGAAAAAATCCCGCTTCCAACGAAGTCCTCAAAGGGGTCCAAGTAATCACTTGCAGACTTTACAGACAGAGTCTTTCCAAACTGCTCTATGAAAAGAAAGGTGGAACTCTGTGAGCTGAACGCACACATAACAAAGAAGTTTCTGAGAATGATTCTGTGTAGTTTTTACACGAAGCTATTTCCATTTCAAAGATTAGCCTCAAATCGCTTGAAATCTCCACTTGCAAATTCCACAGAAAGAGTTTTTCAAAACTGCTCTGTGTAAAGGATGGTTCAACTCTGTGACTTGAATACACACAACACAAAGAAGTGACTGAGAATTCTTCTGTCTAGCATTATATGAGGAAATCCCGTTTCCAACGAAGGGCTCATAGAGGGACAATTATCCAGCTGCAGACTTACAAAGAGTGTATTTCCAAACTGCTCGATTAAAGAAAGGTTAAACTCTGTGAGTTGAACACACACATCACAAAGTGTTTTCTGAGAATGATTTTGTCTAGTTTTAATACGAAGATATATCCTTTTCTATCACTGTCTTCGAAGCGTTTGAAATCTGCACTAGCAAATTCCACAAACAGAGTGTTTCAACTCTGCTCTCTCTCAAGAAAGGTTCAACTCTGTGAGTGGAATACACACAACACAAAGAAGTTACTGAGAATTCTTCTGTCTAGCGTTATATGAAGAAATCCCGTTTCCAACGAAGGCCTCAAAGAGGTCCAAATATCCACTTGCAGACTTTACAAATAGAGTGTTTCCCAACTGCTCTATGAAAAGAAAGGTTAAACTCTGTGAGTTGAAGGCACACATCACAAACTAGTTTCTACGAATGACTCTGTGTACTTTTAATATGAAGATATTTCCATGTCTAAGATTGGCGTCAAATCGCTTGAAATCTCCACTTGCAAATTCCCCAAAAAGAGTGTTTCAAAACTGCTCTGAATAAAGGAAGGTTCCACTCTGTGAGTTGAATACACACAACACAAAGGATTTACTGAGAATTCTTCTGTCTAGCAGTAAATGAGAAATCCCGCTTCCAACGAAGGCCTCAAAGGGGTCTAACTAATCACTTGCAGACTTTACAGACAGAGTCTTTCCAAACTGCTCTATGAAGAGAAAGGTGAAACTCTGTGAACTGAACGCACAGATGACAAAGCAGTTTCTGAGAATGATTCTGTGTAGTTTTTAAACGAAGATATTTCCATTTCAAAGATTAGCCTCAAATCGCTTGAAATCTCCACTTGCAAATTCCACAGAAAGAGTTTTTCAAAACTGCTCTGTGTAAAGGAAGGTTCAACTCTGTGACTTGAATACACACAACACAAAGAAGTGACTGAGAATTCTTCTGTCTAGCATTATATGAAGAAATCCCGTTTCCAACGAAGGCCTCAAAGAAGTCCAAATAAGCACCTGCAGACTTTACAAACAGAGTGTTTCCAAACTGCTCTATGAAAAGAAAGGTTAAACTCTGTGAGTTGAACGCACACATCACAAAGTAGTTGTTGAGAATGATTCTGTGTAGTTTTTATATGAAGATATTTCCTTTTCTGCCATAGGCCTAGAAGCGCTTGTAATCTGCACTTGCAAATTCCAAAAACAGAGTGTTTCAAATCTGCTCTCTCTAAAGGAAGGTTCAAATCTGTGAGTTGAATACAAACAACACAAAGAAGTTACTGAGAATTCTTCTGTCTAGCGTTATATGAAGAAATCCCGTTTCCAACGAAGGCCTCAAAGAGGTCCCAAATATCCACTTGCAGACTTTACAAATAGAGTGTTTCCAAACTGCTCTATGAAAAGAAAGGTTAAACTCTGTGAGTTGAAGGCACACATCACAAACTAGTTTCTGCGAATGACTCTGTGTACTTTTAATACGAAGATGTTTCCATGTCTAAGATTGGCGTGAATTCGCTTGAAATCTCCACTTGCAAATTCCACAAAAAGAGTGTTTCAAAACTGCTCTGAATAAAGGAAGGTTCCACTCTGTGAGTTGAATACACACAACACAAAGGATTTACTGAGAATTCTTCTGTCTAGCAGTAAATGAGAAATCCCGCTTCCAACGAAGGCCTCAAAGGGGTCTAACTAATCACTTGCAGACTTACAGACAGAGTCTTTCCAAACTGCTCTATGAAGAGAAAGGTGAAACTCTGTGAACTGAACGCACAGATGACAAAGCAGTTTCTGAGAATGATTCTGTGTAGTTTTTACACGAAGATATTTCCATTTCAAAGATTAGCCTCAAATCGCTTGAAATCTCCACTTGCAAACTCCACAGAAAGAATTTTTCAAAACTGCTCTGTCTAAAGGAAGGTTCAACTCTGTGACTTGAATACACACAACACAAAGAAGTGACTGAGAATTCTTCTGTCTAGCATTATATGAAGAAATCCCGTTTCCAACGAAGGCCTCAATGAAGTCCATAAAAGCACTTGCAGGCTTTACAAACAGAGTGTTTCCAAACTGCTCTATGAAAAGAAAGGTTAAACTCTGTGAGTTGAACGCACACATCACAAAGTAGTTGTTGAGAATGATTCTGTGTAGTTTTTATACGAAGATATTTCCTTTTCTGCCATAGGCCTAGAAGCGCTTGAAATCTGCACTTGCAAATTCCAAAAACAGAGTGTTTCAAATCTGCTCTCTCTAAAGGAAGGTTCAAATCTGTGTGTTGAATACAAACAACACAAAGAAGTTACTGAGAATTCTTCTGTCTAGCATTATATGAAGAAATCCCGTTTCCAACGAAGGCCTCAAAGAAGTCCAAATAAGCACCTGCAGACTTTACAAACAGAGTGTTTCCAAACTGCTCTATGAAAAGAAAGGTTAAACTCTGTGAGTTGAAGGCACACATCACAAACTAGTTTCTGCGAATGACTCTGTGTACTTTTAATACGAAGATGTTTCCATGTCTAAGATTGGCGTGAATTCGCTTGAAATCTCCACTTGCAAATTCCACAAAAAGAGTGTTTCAAAACTGCTCTGAATAAAGGAAGGTTCCACTCTGTGAGTTGAATACACACAACACAAAGGATTTACTGAGAATTCTTCTGTCTAGCAGTAAATGAAAAAATCCCGCTTCCAACGAAGTCCTCAAAGGGGTCCAAGTAATCACTTGCAGACTTTACAGACAGAGTCTTTCCAAACTGCTCTATGAAAACAAAGGTGGAACTCTGTGAGCTGAACGCACACATAACAAAGCAGTTTCTGACAATGATTCTGTGTAGTTTTTACACGAAGATATTTCCATTTCAAAGATTAGCCTCAAATCGCTTGAAATCTCCACTTGCAAATTCCACAGAAAGAGTTTTTCAAAACTGCTCTGTGTAAAGGAAGGTTCAACTCTGTGACTTGAATACACACAACACAAAGAAGTGACTGAGAATTCTTCTGTCTAGCATTATATGAGGAAATCCCGTTTCCAACGAAGGGCTCAAAGAGGGCCAAATATCCACCTGCAGACTTACAAAGAGTGTATTTCCAAACTGCTCGATTAAAGAAAGGTTAAACTCTGTGAGTTGAACACACACATCACAAAGAGTTTTCTGAGAATGATTTTGTGTACTTTTAATACGAAGATATATCCTTTTCTATCACTGTCTGCGAAGCGTTTGAAATCTACACTAGCAAATTCCACAAAAAGAGTGTTTCACCTCTGCTCCCTCTAAAGAAAGGTTCAACTCTATGAGTTGAATACACACAACACAAAGAAGTTACTGAGAATTCTTCTGTCTAGCGTTATATGAAGAAATCCCGTTTCCAACGAAGGCCTCAAAGAGGTCCAAATATCCACTTGCAGACTTTACAAATAGAGTGTTTCCCAACTGCTCTATGAAAAGAAAGGTTAAACTCTGTGAGTTGAAGGCACACATCACAAACTAGTTTCTACGAATGACTCTGTGTACTTTTAATATGAAGATATTTCCATGTCTAAGATTGGCGTCAAATCGCTTGAAATCTCCACTTGCAAATTCCACAAAAAGAGTGTTTCAAAACTGCTCTGAATAAAGGAAGGTTCCACTCTGTGAGTTGAATAAACGCAACACAAATGATTTACTGAGAATTCTTCTGTCTAGCATTATATGAAGAAATCCCGTTTCCAACGAAGGCCTCAATGAAGTCCAAAAAAGCACTTGCAGGCTTTAAAAACAGCGTGTTTCCAAACTGCTCTATGAAAAGAAAGGTTAAACTTTGTGAGTTGAACGCACACATCACAAAGTAGTTGTTGAGAATGATTCTGTGTAGTTTTTATATGAAGATATTTCCTTTCCTGCCATAGGCCTAGAATCGCTTGAAATCTGCACTTGCAAATTCCAAAAACAGAGTGTTTCAACTCTGCTCTCTCTAAAGAAAGGTTCAACTCTGTGAGTTGAATACACACAACACAAAGAAGTTACTGAGAATTCTTCTGTCTAGCATTATATGAAGAAATCCCGTTTCCAACGAAGGCCTCAAAGAAGTCCAAATAAGCACCTGCAGACTTTACAAACAGAGTGTTTCCAAACTGCTCTATGAAAAGAAAGGTTAAACTCTGTGAGTTGAACGCACACATCACAAAGTAGTTGTTGAGAATGATTCTGTGTAGTTTTTATACGAAGATATTTCCTTTTCTGCCATAGGCCTAGAATCGCTTGAAATCTGCACTTGCAAATTCCAAAAACAGAGTGTTTCAACTCTGCTCTCTCTAAAGAAAGGTTCAACTCTGTGAGTTGAATACACACAACACAAAGAAGTTACTGAGAATTCTTCTGTCTAGCGTTGTATGAAGAAATCCCGTTTCCAACGAAGGCCTCAAAGAGGTCCAAATATCCACTTGCAGACTTTACAAATAGAGTGTTTCCAAACTGCTCTATGAAAAGAAAGGTTAAACTCTGTGAGTTGAAGGCACACATCACAAACTAGTTTCTACGAATGACTCTGTGTACTTTTAATATGAAGATATTTCCATGTCTAAGATTGCCGTCAAATCTCTTGAAATCTCCACTTGCAAATTCCACAAAAAGAGTGTTTCAAAACTTCTCTGAATAAAGGAAGGTTCCACTCTGTGAGTTGAATACACACAACACAAAGGATTTACTGAGAATTCTTCTGTCTAGCAGTAAATGAGAAATCCCGCTTCCAACGAAGGCCTCAAAGGGGTCTAACTAATCACTTGCAGACTTTACAGACAGAGTCTTTCCAAACTGCTCTATGAAGAGAAAGGTGAAACTCTGTGAACTGAACGCACAGATGACAAAGCAGTTTGCTGAGAATGATTTCTGTGTAGTTTTTACACGAAGATATTTCCATTTCAAAGATTAGCCTCAAATCGCTTAAAATCTCCAATTGCAAATTCCACAGAAAGAATTTTTCAAAACTGCTCTGTCTAAAGGAAGGTTCAACTCTGTGACTTGAATACACACAACACAAAGAAGTGACTGAGAATTCTTCTGTCTAGCATTATATGAAGAAATCCCGTTTCCAACGAGGCCTCAATGAAGTCCAAAAAAGCACTTGCAGGCTTTACAAACAGAGTGTTTCCAAACTGCTCTATGAAAAGAAAGGTTAAACTCTGTGAGTTGAACGCACACATCACAAAGTAGTTGTTGAGAATGATTCTGTGTAGTTTTTATACGAAGATATTTCCTTTTCTGCCATAGGCCTAGAAGCGCTTGAAATCTGCACTTGCAAATTCCAAAAACAGAGTGTTTCAAATCTGTTCTCTCTAAAGGAAGGTTCAAATCTGTGAGTTGAATACAAACAACACAAAGAAGTTACTGAGAATTCTTCTGTCAAGCGTTATATGAAGAAATCCCGTTTCCAACGAAGGCCTCAAAGAGGTCCAAATATCCACTTGCAGACTTTACAAATAGAATGTTTCCGAACTGCTCTATGAAAAGAAAGGTTAAACTCTGTGAGTTGAAGGCACACATCACAAACTAGTTTCTACGAATGACTCTGTGTACTTTTAATATGAAGATATTTCCATGTCTAAGATTGGCGTCAAATCGCTTGAAATCTCCACTTGCAAATTCCACAAAAAGAGTGTTTCAAAACTGCTCTGAATAAAGGAAGGTTCCACTCTGTGAGTTGAATACACACAACACAAAGGATTTACTGAGAATTCTTCTGTCTAGTAGTAAATGAGAAATCCCGCTTCCAACGAAGGCCTCAAAGGGGTCTAACTAATCACTTGCAGACTTTACAGAAAGAGTCTTTCCAAACTGCTCTATGAAGAGAAATGTGAAACTCTGTGAACTGTAAGCACAGATAACAAAGCAGTTTCTGAGAATGATTCTGTGTAGTTTTTACACGAAGATATTTCCATTTCAAAGATTAGCCTCAAATCGCTTGAAATCTCCACTTGCAAATTCCACAGAAACAGTTTTTCAAAACTGCTCTGTCTAAAGGAAGTTTCAACTCTGTGAGTTGAATACCACAACACAAAGAAGTGACTGAGAATTCTTCTGTCTAGCTTTATATGAAGAACTCCCGTTTCCAACGAAGGCCTCAATGAAGTCCAAAAAAGCACTTGCAGGCTTTACAAACAGAGTGTTTCCAAACTGCTCTATGAAAAGAAAGGTTAAACTCTGTGAGTTGAACGCACACATTACAAAGTAGTTGTTGAGAATGATTCTGTGTAGTTTTTATACGAAGATATTTCCTTTTCTGCCATAGGCCGAGAAGCGCTTGAAATCTGCACTTGCAAATTCCAAAAACAGAGTGTTTCAACTCTGCTCTCTCTAAAGAAAGGTTCAACTCTGTGAGTTGAATACACACAACACAAAGAAGTTACTGAGAATTCTTCTGTCTAGCGTTGTATGAAGAAATCCCGTTTCCAACGAAGGCCTCAAAGAGGTCCAAATATCCACTTGCAGACTTTACAAATAGAGTGTTTCCAAACTGCTCTATGAAAAGAAAGGTTAAACTCTGTGAGTTGAAGGCACACATCACAAACTAGTTTCTACGAATGACTCTGTGTACTTTTAATATGAAGATATTTCCATGTCTAAGATTGGCGTCAAATCGCTTGAAATCTCCACTTGCAAATTCCACAAAAAGAGTGTTTCAAAACTACTCTGAATAAAGGAAGGTTCCACTCTGTGAGTTGAATACACACAACACAAAGGATTTACTGAGAATTCTTCTGTCTAGCAGTAAATGAGAAATCCCGCTTCCAACGAAGGCCTCAAAGGGGTCTAACTAATCACTTGCAGACTTTACAGACAGAGTCTTTCCAAACTGCTCTATGAAGAGAAAGGTGAAACTCTGTGAACTGAACGCACAGATGACAAAGCAGTTTCTGAGAATGATTCTGTGTAGTTTTTACACGAAGATATTTCCATTTCAAAGATTAGCCTCAAATCTCTTGAAATCTCCACTTGCAAACTCCACAGAAAGAATTTTTCAAAACTGCTCTGTCTAAAGGAAGGTTCAACTCTCTGACTTGAATACACACAACACAAAGAAGTGACTGAGAATTCTTCTGTCTAGCGTTGTATGAAGAAATCCCGTTTCCAACGAAGGCCTCAATGAAGTCCAAAAAAGCACTTGCAGGCTTTACAAACAGAGTGTTTCCAAACTGCTCTATGAAAAGAAAGGTTAAACTCTGTGACTTGAACGCACACATCACAAAGTAGTTGTTGAGAATGATTTTGTCTAGTTTTAATACGAAGATATATCCTTTTCTATCACTGTCTTCGAAGCGTTTGAAATCTGCACTAGCAAATTCCACAAAAAGAGTGTTTCCACTCTGCTCTCTCTCAAGAAAGGTTCAACTCTGTGAGTTGAATACACACAACACAAAGAAGTTACTGAGAATTCTTCTGTCTAGCGTTATATGAAGAAATCCCGTTTCCAACGAAGGCCTCAAAGAGGTCCAAATATCCACTTGCAGACTTTACAAATAGAGTGTTTCCAAACTGCTCTATGAAAAGAAAGGTTAAACTCTGTGAGTTGAAGGCACACATCACAAACTAGTTTCTGCGAATGACTCTGTGTACTTTTAATACGAAGTTGTTTCCATGTCTAAGATTGGCGTGAATTCGCTTGAAATCTCCACTTGCAAATTCCACAAAAAGAGTGTTTCAAAACTGCTCTGAATAAAGGAAGGTTCCACTCTGTGAGTTGAATACACACAACACAAAGGATTTACTGAGAATTCTTCTGTCTAGCAGTAAATGAAAAAATCCCGCTTCCAACGAAGTCCTCAAAGGGGTCCAAGTAATCACTTGCAGACTTTACAGACAGAGTCTTTCCAAACTGCTCTATGAAAAGAAAGGTGGAACTCTGTGAGCTGAACGCACACATAACAAAGCAGTTTCTGACAATGATTCTGTGTAGTTTTTACACGAAGCTATTTCCATTTCAAAGATTAGCCTCAAATCGCTTGAAATCTCCACTTGCAAATTCCACAGAAAGAGTTTTTCAAAACTGCTCTGTGTAAAGGAAGGTTCAACTCTGTGACTTGAATACACACAACACAAAGAAGTGACTGAGAATTCTTCTGTCTAGCATTATATGAAGAAATCCCGTTTCCAACGAAGGCCTCAAAGAAGTCCAAATAAGCACCTGCAGACTTTACAAACAGAGTGTTTCCAAACTGCTCTATGAAAAGAAAGGTTAAACTCTGTGAGTTGAACGCACACATCACAAAGTAGTTGTTGAGAATGATTTTGTCTAGTTTTAATACGAAGATATATCCTTTTCTATCACTGTCTTCGAAGCGTTTGAAATCTGCACTAGCAAATTCCACAAAAAGAGTGTTTCAACTCTGCTCTCTCTAAAGAAAGGTTCAACTCTGTGAGTTGAATACACACAACACAAAGAAGTTACTGAGAATTCTTCTGTCTAGCGTTATATGAAGAAATCCCGTTTCCAACGAAGGCCTCAAAGAGGTCCAAATATCCACTTGCAGACTTTACAAATAGAGTGTTTCCGAACTGCTCTATGAAAAGAAAGGTTAAACTCTGTGAGTTGAAGGCACACATCACAAACTAGTTTCTACGAATGACTCTGTGTACTTTTAATATGAAGATATTTCCATGTCTAAGATTGGCGTCAAATCGCTTGAAATCTCCACTTGCAAATTCCACAAAAACAGTGTTTCAAAACTGCTCTGAATAAAGGAAGGTTCCACTCTGTGAGTTGAATACACACAACACAAAGGATTTACTGAGAATTCTTCTGTCTAGCAGTAAATGAGAAATCCCGCTTCCAACGAAGGCCTCAAAGGGGTCTAACTAATCACTTGCAGACTTTACAGACAGAGTCTTTCCAAACTGCTCTATGAAGAGAAAGGTGAAACTCTGTGAACTGAACGCACAGATGACAAAGCAGTTTCTGAGAATGATTCTGTGTAGTTTTTACACGAAGCTATTTCCATTTCAAAGATTAGCCTCAAATCGCTTGAAATCTCCACTTGCAAATTCCACAGAAAGAGTTTTTCAAAACTGCTCTGTGTAAAGGAAGGTTCAACTCTGTGACTTGAATACACACAACACAAAGAAGTGACTGAGAATTCTTCTGTCTAGCATTATATGAAGAAATCCCGTTTCCAACGAAGGCCTCAAAGAAGTCCAAATAAGCACCTGCAGACTTTACAAACAGAGTGTTTCCAAACTGCTCTATGAAAAGAAAAGTTAAACTCTGTGAGTTGAACGCACACATCACAAAGTAGTTGTTGAGAATGATTCTGTGTAGTTTTTATACGAAGATATTTCCTTTTCTGCCATAGGCCTAGAAGCGCTTGCAATCTGCACTTGCAAATTCCAAAAACAGAGTATTTCAAATCTGCTCTCTCTAAAGGAAAGTTCAAATCTGTGAGTTGAATACAAACAATACAAGGAACTTACTGAGAATTCTTCTGTCTAGCGTTATATGAAGAAATCCCGTTTCCAACGAAGGCCTCAAAGAGGTCCAAATATCCACTTGCAGACTTTACAAATAGAGTGTTTCCAAACTGCTCTATGAAAAGAAAGGTTAAACTCCGTGAGTTGAAGGCACACATCACAAACTAGTTTCTGCGAATGACTCTGTGTACTTTTAATATGAAGATATTTCCATGTCTAAGATTGGCGTCAAATCGCTTGAAATCTCCACTTGCAAAATCCACAAAAAGAGTGTTTCAAAACTGCTCTGAATAAAGGAAGGTTCCACTCTGTGAGTTGAATACACACAACACAAAGGATTTACTGAGAATTCTTCTGTCTAGCAGTAAATGAGAAATCCCGCTTCCAACGAAGGCCTCAAAGGGGTCTAACTAATCACTTGCAGACTTTACAGACAGAGTCTTTCCAAACTGCTCTATGAAGAGAAAGGTGAAACTCTGTGAACTGAACGCACAGATGACAAAGCAGTTTCTGAGAATGATTCTGTGTAGTTTTTACACGAAGCTATTTCCATTTCAAAGATTAGCCTCAAATCGCTTGAAATCTCCACTTGCAAATTCCACAGAAAGAGTTTTTCAAAACTGCTCTGTGTAAAGGAAGGTTCAACTCTGTGACTTGAATACACACAACACAAAGAAGTGACTGAGAATTCTTCTGTCTAGCATTATATGAGGAAATCCCGTTTCCAACGAAGGGCTCATAGAGGGACAATTATCCACCTGCAGACTTACAAAGAGTGTATTTCCAAACTGCTCGATTAAAGAAAGGTTAAACTCTGTGAGTTGAACACACACATCACAAAGTGTTTTCTGAGAATGATTTTGTCTAGTTTTAATACGAAGATATATCCTTTTCTATCACTGTCTTCGAAGCGTTTGAAATCTGCACTAGCAAATTCCACAGAAAGAGTGTTTCAACTCTGCTCTCTCTCAAGAAAGGTTCAACTCTGTGAGTGGAATACACACAACACAAAGAAGTTACTGAGAATTCTTCTGTCTAGCGTTATATGAAGAAATCCCGTTTCCAACGAAGGCCTCAAAGAGGTCCAAATATCCACTTGCAGACTTTACAAATAGAGTGTTTCCAAACTGCTCTATGAAAAGAAAGGTTAAACTCCGTGAGTTGAAGGCACACATCACAAACTAGTTTCTGCGAATGACTCTGTGTACTTTCAATACGAAGATGTTTCCATGTCTAAGATTGGCGTGAATTCGCTTGAAATCTCCACTTGCAAATTCCACAAAAAGAGTGTTTCAAAAGTGCTCTGAATAAAGGAAGGTTCCACTCTGTGAGTTGAATACACACAACACAAAGGATTTACTGAGAATTCTTCTGTCTAGCAGTAAATGAAAAAATCCCGCTTCCAACGAAGTCCTCAAAGGGGTCCAAGTAATCACTTGCAGACTTTACAGACAGAGTCTTTCCAAACTGCTCTATGAAAAGAAAGGTGGAACTCTGTGAGCTGAACGCACACATAACAAAGCAGTTTCTGAGAATGATTCTGTGTAGTTTTTACACGAAGATATTTCCATTTCAAAGATTAGCCTCAAATCGCTTGACATCTCCACTTGCAAATTCCACAGAAAGAGTTTTTCAAAACTGCTCTGTGTAAAGGAAGGTTCAACTCTGTGACTTGAATACACACAACACAAAGAAGTGACTGAGAATTCTTCTGTCTAGCATTATATGAAGAAATCCCGTTTCCAACGAAGGCCTCAAAGAAGTCCAAATAAGCACCTGCAGACTTTACAAACAGAGTGTTTCCAAACTGCTCTATGAAAAGAAAGGTTAAACTCTGTGAGTTGAACGCACACATCACAAAGTAGTTGTTGAGAATGATTCTGTGTAGTTTTTATACGAAGATATTTCCTTTTCTGCCATAGGCCTAGAAGTGCTTGAAATCTGCACTTGCAAATTCCAAAAACAGAGTGTTTCAAATCTGCTCTCTCTAAAGGAAGGTTCAAATCTGTGTGTTGAATACAAACAACACAGAGAAGTTACTGAGAATTCTTCTGTCTAGCATTATAAGAGGAAATCCTGTTTCCAACGAAGGGCTCATAGAGGGACAATTATCCAGCTGCAGACTTACAAAGAGTGTATTTCCAAACTGCTCGATTAAAGAAAGGTTAAACTCTGTGAGTTGAACACACACATCACAAAGTGTTTTCTGACAATGATTCTGTGTACTTTTAATACGAAGTATGTTTCCATGTCTAAGATTGGCGTGAATTCGCTTGAAATCTCCACTTGCAATTTCCACAAAAAGAGTGTTTCAAAAGTGCTCTGAATAAAGGAAGGTTCCACTCTGTGAGTTGAATACACACAACACAAAGGATTTACTGAGAATTCTTCTGTCTGGCAGTAAATGAAAAAATCCCGCTTCCAACGAAGTCCTCAATGGGGTCCAAGTAATCACTTGCAGACTTTACAGACAGAGTCTTTCCAAACTGCTCTATGAAAAGAAAGGTGGAACTCTGTGAGCTGAACGCACACATAACAAAGCAGTTTCTGAGAATGATTCTGTGTAGTTTTTAAACGAAGATATTTCCATTTCAAAGATTAGCCTCAAATCGCTTGAAATCTCCACTTGCAAATTCCACAGAAAGAGTTTTTCAAAACTGCTCTGTGTAAAGGAAGGTTCAACTCTGTGACTTGAATACACACAACACAAAGAAGTGACTGAGAATTCTTCTGTCTAGCATTATATGAAGAAATCCCGTTTCCAACGAAGGCCTCAAAGAAGTCCAAATAAGCACCTGCAGACTTTACAAACAGAGTGTTTCCAAACTGCTCTATGAAAAGAAAGGTTAAACTCTGTGAGTTGAACGCACACATCACAAAGTAGTTGTTGAGAATGATTCTGTGTAGTTTTTATACGAAGATATTTCCTTTTCTGCCATAGGCCTAGAAGCGCTTGAAATCTGCACTTGCAAATTCCAAAAACAGAGTGTTTCAAATCTGCTCTCTCTAAAGGAAGGTTCAAATCTGTGAGTTGAATACAAACAACACAAAGAAGTTACTGAGAATTCTTCTGTCTAGCGTTGTATGAAGAAATCCCGTTTCCAACGAAGGCCTCAAAGAGGTCCAAATATCCACTTGCAGACTTTACAAATAGTGTTTCCAAACTGCTCTATGAAAAGAAAGGTTAAACTCTGTGAGTTGAAGGCACACATCACAAACTAGTTTCTACGAATGACTCTGTGTACTTTTAATATGAAGATATTTCCATGTCTAAGATTGGCGTCAAATCGCTTGAAATCTCCACTTGCAAATTCCACAAAAAGTGTTTTTCAAAACTGCTCTGAATAAAGGAAGGTTCCACTCTGTGAGTTGAATACACACAACACAAAGGATTTACTGAGAATTCTTCTGTCTAGCAGTAAATGAGAAATCCCGCTTCCAACGAAGGCCTCAAAGGGGTCTAACTAATCACTTGCAGACTTTACAGACAGAGTCTTTCCAAACTGCTCTATGAAGAGAAAGGTGAAACTCTGTGAACTGAACGCACAGATGACAAAGCAGTTTCTGAGAATGATTCTGTGTAGTTTTTACACGAAGATATTTCCATTTCAAAGATTAGCCTCAAATCGCTTGAAATCTCCACTTGCAAACTCCACAGAAAGAATTTTTCAAAACTGCTCTGCCTAAAGGAAGGTTCAACTCTGTGACTTGAATACACACAACACAAAGAAGTGACTGAGAATTCTTCTGTCTAGCATTATATGAAGAAATCCCGTTTCCAACGAAGGCCTCAATGAAGTCCAAAAAAGCACTTGCAGGCTTTACAAACAGAGTGTTTCCAAACTGCTCTATGAAAAGAAAGGTTAAACTCTGTGAGTTGAACGCACACATCACAAAGTAGTTGTTGAGAATGATTCTGTGTAGTTTTTATACGAAGATATTTCCTTTTCTGCCATAGGCCTAGAAGCGCTTGAAATCTGCACTTGCAAATTCCAAAAACAGAGTGTTTCAAATCTGCTCTCTCTAAAGGAAGGTTCAAATCTGTGTGTTGAATACAAACAACACAAAGAAGTTACTGAGAATTTTTTCTGTCTAGCGTTATATGAAGAAATCCCGTTTCCAACGAAGGCCTCAAAGAGGTCCAAATATCCACTTGCAGACTTTACAAATAGAGTGTTTCCAAACTGCTCTATGAAAAGAAAGGTTAAACTCTGTGAGTTGAAGGCACACATCACAAACTAGTTTCTACGAATGACTCTGTGTACTTTTAATATGAAGATATTTCCATGTCTAAGATTGGCGTCAAATCGCTTGAAATCTCCACTTGCAAAATCCACAAAAAGAGTGTTTCAAAACTGCTCTGAATAAAGGAAGGTTCCACTCTGTGAGTTGAATACACACAACACAAAGGATTTACTGAGAATTCTTCTGTCTAGCAGTAAATGAGAAATCCCGCTTCCAACGAAGGCCTCAAAGGGGTCTAACTAATCACTTGCAGACTTTACAGACAGAGTCTTTCCAAACTGCTCTATGAAGAGAAAGGTGAAACTCTGTGAACTGAACGCACAGATGACAAAGCAGTTTCTGAGAATGATTCTGTATAGTTTTTACACGAAGATAATTCCATTTCAAAGATTAGCCTCAAATCGCTTGAAATCTCCACTTGCAAACTCCACAGAAAGAATTTTTCAAAACTACTCTGTCTAAAGGAAGGTTCAACTACTGTGACTTGAATACACACAACACAAATAAGTGACTGAGAATTCTTCTGTCTAGCATTATATGAAGAAATCCCGTTTCCAACGAAGGCCTCAATGAAGTCCAAAAAAGCACTTGCAGGCTTTACAAACAGAGTGTTTCCATACTTCTCTATGAAAAGAAAGGTTAAACTTTGTGAGTTGAACGCACACATCACAAAGTAGTTGTTGAGAATGATTCTGTGTAGTTTTTATACGAAGATATTTCCATTTCAAAGATTAGCCTCAAATCGCTTGAAATCTCCACTTGCAAATTCCACAGAAAGAATTTTTCAAAACTGCTCTGTCTAAAGGAAGGTTCAACTCTGTGACTTCAATACAAACAACACAAAGAAGTGACTGAGAATTCTTCTGTCTAGCATTATATGAAGAAATCCCGTTTCCAACGAAGGCCTCAATGAAGTCCAAAAAAGCACTTGCAGGCTTTACAAACAGAGTGTTTCCAAACTGCTCTATGAAAAGAAAGGTTAAACTCTGTGAGTTGAACGCACACATCACAAAGTAGTTGTTGAGAATGATTCTGTGTAGTTTTTATACGAAGATATTTCCTTTTCTGCCATAGGCCTAGAATCGCTTGAAATCTGCACTTGCAAATTCCAAAAACAGAGTGTTTCAACTCTGCTCTCTCTAAAGAAAGGTTCAACTCTGTGAGTTGAATACACACAACACAAAGAAGTTACTGAGAATTCTTCTGTCTAGTGTTGTATGAAGAAATCCCATTTCCAACGAAGGCCTCAAAGAGGTCCAAATATCCACTTGCAGACTTTACAAATAGAGTGTTTCCAAACTGCTCTATGAAAAGAAAGGTTAAACTCTGTGAGTTGAAGGCACACATCACAAACTAGTTTCTACGAATGACTCTGTGTACTTTTAATATGAAGACATTTCCATGTCTAAGATTGGCGTCAAATCGCTTGAAATCTCCACTTGCAAATTCCACAAAAAGTGTTTTTCAAAACTGCTCTGAATAAAGGAAGGTTCCACTCTGTGAGTTGAATACACACAACACAAAGGATTTACTGAGAATTCTTCTGTCTAGCAGTAAATGAGAAATCCCGCTTCCAACGAAGGCCTCAAAGGGGTCTAACTAATCACTTGCAGACTTTACAGACAGAGTCTTTCCAAACTGCTCTATGAAGAGAAAGGTGAAACTCTGTGAACTGAACGCACAGATGACAAAGCAGTTTCTGAGAATGATTCTGTGTAGTTTTTACACGAAGATATTTCCATTTCAAAGATTAGCCTCAAATCGCTTGAAATCTCCACTTGCAAACTCCACAGAAAGAATTTTTCAAAACTGCTCTGTCTAAAGGAAGGTTCAACTCTGTGACTTGAATACACACAACACAAAGAAGTGACTGAGAATTCTTCTGTCTAGGATTATATGAAGAAATCCCGTTTCCAACGAAGGCCTCAATGAAGTCCAAAAAAGCACTTGCAGGCTTTACAAACAGAGTGTTTCCAAACTGCTCTATGAAAAGAAAGGTTAAACTTTGTGAGTTGAACGCACACATCACAAAGTAGTTGTTGAGAATGATTCTGTGTAGTTTTTATACGAAGATATTTCCTTTTCTGCCATAGGCCTAGAAGCGCTTGAAATCTGCACTTGCAAATTCCAAAAACAGAGTGTTTCAAATCTGCTCTCTCTAAAGGAAGGTTCAAATCTGTGTGTTGAATACAAACAACACAAAGAAGTTACTGAGAATTCTTCTGTCTAGCGTTATATGAAGAAATCCCTTTTCCAACGAAGGCCTCAAAGAGGTCCAAATATCCACTTGCAGACTTTACAAATAGAGTGTTTCCGAACTGCTCTATGAAAAGAAAGGTTAAACTCTGTGAGTTGAAGGCACACATCACAAACTAGTTTCTACGAATGATTCTGTGTACTTTTAATATGAAGATATTTCCATGTCTAAGATTGGCGTCAAATCGCTTGAAATCTCCACTTGCAAATTCCACAAAAAGAGTGTTTCAAAACTGCTCTGAATAAAGGAAGGTTCCACTCTGTGAGTTGAATACACACAACACAAAGGATTTACTGAGAATTCTTCTGTCTAGCATTATATGAAGAAATCCCTTTTCCAACGAAGGCCTCAATGAAGTCCAAAAAAGCACTTGCAGGCTTTACAAACAGAGTGTTTCCAAACTTCTCTATGAAAAGAAAGGTTAAACTTTGTGAGTTGAACGCACACATCACAAAGTAGTTGTTGAGAATGATTTTGTCTAGTTTTAATACGAAGATATATCCTTTGCTATCACTGTCTTCAAAGCGTTTGAAATCTGCACTAGCAAATTCCACAAAAAGAGTGTTTCAACTCTGCTCTCTCTAAAGAAAGGTTCAACTCTGTGAGTTGAATACACACAACACAAAGAAGTTACTGAGAATTCTTCTGTCTAGCGTTATATGAAGAAATCCCTTTTCCAACGAAGGCCTCAAAGAGGTCCAAATATCCACTTGCAGACTTTACAAATAGAGTGTTTCCGAACTGCTCTATGAAAAGAAAGGTTAAACTCTGTGAGTTGAAGGCACACATCACAAACTAGTTTCTACGAATGATTCTGTGTACTTTTAATATGAAGATATTTCCATGTCTAAGATTGGCGTCAAATCGCTTGAAATCTCCACTTGCAAATTCCACAAAAAGAGTGTTTCAAAACTGCTCTGAATAAAGGAAGGTTCCACTCTGTGAGTTGAATACACACAACACAAAGGATTTACTGAGAATTCTTCTGTCTAGCAGTAAATGAGAAATCCCGCTTCCAACGAAGGCCTCAAAGGGGTCTAACTAATCACTTGCAGACTTACAGACAGAGTCTTTCCAAACTGCTCTATGAAGAGAAAGGTGAAACTCTGTGAACTGAACGCACAGATGACAAAGCAGTTTCTGAGAATGATTCTGTGTAGTTTTTACACGAAGATATTTCCATTTCAAAGATTAGCCTCAAATCGCTTGAAATCTCCACTTGCAAACTCCACAGAAAGAATTTTTCAAAACTGCTCTGTCTAAAGGAAGGTTCAACTCTGTGACTTGAATACACACAACACAAAGAAGTGACTGAGAATTCTTCTGTCTAGCATTATATGAAGAAATCTCGTTTCCAACGAAGGCCTCAATGAAGTCCAAAAAAGCACTTGCAGGCTTTACAAACAGAGTGTTTCCAAACTGCTCTATGAAAAGAAAGGTTAACCTCTGTGAGTTGAACGCACACATCACAAAGTAGTTGTTGAGAATGATTCTGTGTAGTTTTTATACGAAGATATTTCCTTTTCTGCCATAGGCCTAGAAGCGCTTGAAATCTGCACTTGCAAATTCCAAAAACAGAGTGTTTCAAATCTGCTCTCTCTAAAGGAAGGTTCAAATCTGTGTGTTGAATACAAACAACACAAAGAAGTTACTGAGAATTCTTCTGTCTAGCATTATATGAGGAAATCCCGTTTCCAACGAAGGGCTCAAAGAGGGCCAAATATCCACCTGCAGACTTACAAAGAGTGTATTTCCAAACTGCTCGATTAAAGAAAGGTTAAACTCTGTGAGTTGAACACACACATCACAAAGAGTTTTCTGAGAATGATTCTGTGTAGTTTTTATACGAAGATATTTCCTTTTCTGCCATAGGCCTAGAATCGCTTGAAATCTGCAGTTGCAAATTCCAAAAACAGAGTGTTTCAACTCTGCTCTCTCTAAAGAAAGGTTCAACTCTGTGAGTTGAATACACACAACACAAAGAAGTTACTGAGAATTCTTCTGTCTAGTGTTGTATGAAGAAATCCCATTTCCAACGAAGGCCTCAAAGAGGTCCAAATATCCACTTGCAGACTTTACAAATAGAGTGTTTCCAAACTGCTCTATGAAAAGAAAGGTTAAACTCTGTGAGTTGAAGGCACACATCACAAACTAGTTTCTACGAATGACTCTGTGTACTTTTAATATGAAGATATTTCCATGTCTAAGATTGGCGTCAAATCGCTTGAAATCTCCACTTGCAAATTCCACAAAAAGTGTTTTTCAAAACTGCTCTGAATAAAGGAAGGTTCCACTCTGTGAGTTGAATACACACAACACAAAGGATTTACTGAGAATTCTTCTGTCTAGCAGTAAATGAGAAATCCCGCTTCCAACGAAGGCCTCAAAGGGGTCTAACTAATCACTTGCAGACTTTACAGACAGAGTCTTTCCAAACTGCTCTATGAAGAGAAAGGTGAAACTCTGTGAACTGAACGCACAGATGGCAAAGCAGTTTCTGAGAATGATTCTGTGTAGTTTTTACACGAAGATATTTCCATTTCAAAGATTAGCCTCAAATCGCTTGAAATCTCCACTTGCAAACTCCACAGAAAGAATTTTTCAAAACTGCTCTGTCTAAAGGAAGGCTCAACTCTGTGACTTGAATACACACAACACAAAGAAGTGACTGAGAATTCTTCTGTCTAGCGTTGTATGAAGAAATCCCGTTTCCAACGAAGGCCTCAATGAAGTCCAAAAAAGCACTTGCAGGCTTTACAAACAGAGTGTTTCCAAACTGCTCTATGAAGAGAAAGGTGAAACTCTGTGAACTGAACGCACAGATGACAAAGCAGTTTCTGAGAATGATTCTGTGTAGTTTTTACACGAAGATATTTCCATTTCAAAGATTAGCCTCAAATCGCTTGAAATCTCCACTTGCAAATTACACAGAAAGAATTTTTCAAAACTGCTCTGTCTAAAGGAAGGTTCAACTCTGTGACTTGAATACACACAACACAAAGAAGTGACTGAGAATTCTTCTGTCTAGCATTATATGAAGAAATCCCGTTTCCAACGAAGGCCTCAATGAAGTCCAAAAAAGCACTTGCAGGCTTTACAAACAGAGTGTTTCCAAACTGCTCTATGAAAAGAAAGGTTAAACTCTGTGAGTTGAACGCACACATCACAAAGTAGTTGTTGAGAATGATTCTGTGTAGTTTTTATACGAAGATATTTCCTTTTCTGCCATAGGCCTAGAATCGCTTGAAATCTGCACTTGCAAATTCCAAAAACAGAGTGTTTCAACTCTGCTCTCTCTAAAGAAAGGTTCAACTCTGTGAGTTGAATACACACAACACAAAGAAGTTACTGAGAATTCTTCTGTCTAGCGTTATATGAAGAAATCCCATTTCCAACGAAGGCCTCAAAGAGGTCCAAATATCCACTTGCAGACTTTACAAATAGAGTGTTTCCAAACTGCTCTATGAAAAGAAAGGTTAAACTCTGTGAGTTGAAGGCACACATCACAAACTAGTTTCTACGAATGACTCTGTGTACTTTTAATACGAAGATGTTTCCATGTCTAAGATTGGCGTGAATTCGCTTGAAATCTCCACTTGCAAATTCCACAAAAAGAGTGTTTCAAAACTCCTCTGAATAAAGGAAGGTTCCACTCTGTGAGTTGAATACACACAACACAAAGGATTTACTGAGAATTCTTCTGTCTAGCAGTAAATGAAAAAATCCCGCTTCCAACGAAGTCCTCAAAGGGGTCCAAGTAATCACTTGCAGACTTTACAGACAGAGTCTTTCCAAACTGCTCTATGAAAAGAAAGGTGGAACTCTGTGAGCTGAACGCACACATAACAAAGCAGTTTCTGAGAATGATTCTGTGTAGTTTTTACACGAAGATATTTCCATTTCAAAGATTAGCCTCAAATCGCTTGAAATCTCCACTTGCAAACTCCACAGAAAGAATTTTTCAAAACTGCTCTGTCTAAAGGAAGGTTCAACTCTGTGACTTGAATACACACAACACAAAGAAATGACTGAGAATTCTTCTGTCTAGCATTATATGAAGAAATCCCCTTTCGAACGAAGGCCTCAATGAAGTCCAAAAAAGCAATTGCAGGCTTTACAAACAGAGTGTTTCCAAACTGTTCTATGAAAAGAAAGGTTAAACTTTGTGAGTTGAATGCACACATCACAAAGTAGTTGTTGAGAATGATTCTGTGTAGTTTTTATACGAAGATATTTCCTTTTCTGCCATAGGCCTAGAAATCGCTTGAAATCTGCAGTTGCAAATTCCAAAAACAGAGTGTTTCAACTCTGCTCTCTCTAAAGAAAGGTTCAACTCTGTGAGTTGAATACACACAACACAAAGAAGTTACTGAGAATTCTTCTGTCTAGCGTTGTATGAAGAAATCCCGTTTCCAACGAAGGCCTCAAAGAGGTCCAAATATCCACTTGCAGACCTTACAAACAAAGTGTTTCCAAACTGCTCTATGAAAAGAAAAGTTAAACTCTGTGAGTTGAAGGCACACATCACAAACTAGTTTCTGCGAATGACTCTGTGTACTTTTAATACGAAGATGTTTCCATGTCTAAGATTGGCGTGAATTCGCTTGAAATCTCCACTTGCAAATTCCACAAAAAGAGTGTTTCAAAACTGCTCTGAATAAAGGAAGGTTCCACTCTGTGAGTTGAATACACACAACACAAAGGATTTACTGAGAATTCTTCTGTCTAGCAGTAAATGAGAAATCCCGCTTCCAACGAAGGCCTCAAAGGGGTCTAACTAATCACTTGCAGACTTTACAGACAGAGTCTTTCCAAACTGCTCTATGAAGAGAAAGGTGAAACTCTGTGAACTGAAGGCACAGATAACAAAGCAGTTTCTGAGAATGATTCTGTGTAGTTTTTACACGAAGATATTTCCATTTCAAAGATTAGCCTCAAATCGCATGAAATCTCCACTTGCAAACTCCACAGAAAGAATTTTTCAAAACTGCTCTGTCTAAAGGAAGGTTCAACTCTGTGACTTGAATACACACAACACAAAGAAGTGACTGAGAATTCTTCTGTCTAGCATTACATGAAGAAATCCCGTTTCCAACGAAGGCCTCAAAGAAGTCCAAATAAGCACCTGCAGACTTTACAAACAGAGTGTTTCCAAACTGCTCTATGAAAAGAAAGGTTAAACTCTGTGAGTTGAACGCACACATCACAAAGTAGTTGTTGAGAATGATTCTGTGTAGTTTTTATACGAAGATATTTCCTTTTCTGCCATAGGCCTAGAAGCGCTTGCAATCTGCACTTGCAAATTCCAAAAACAGAGTGTTTCAAATCTGCTCCCTCTAAAGGAAGTTTCAAATCTGTGAGTTGAATACAAACAACACAAAGAAGTTACTGAGAATACTTCTGTCTAGCGTTATATGAAGAAATCCCGTTTCCAACGAAGGCCTCAAAGAGGTCCAAATATCCACTTGCAGACTTTACAAATAGAGTGTTTCCAAACTGCTCTATGAAAAGAAAGGTTAAACTCTGTGAGTTGAAGGCACACATGACAAACTAGTTTCTGCGAATGACTCTGTGTACTTTTAATACGAAGATGTTTCCATGTCTAAGATTGGCGTCAATTCGCTTGAAATCTCCACTTGCAAATTCCACAAAAAGAGTGTTTCAAAACTGCTCTGAATAAAGGAAGGTTCCACTCTGTGAGTTGAATACACACAACACAAAGGATTTACTGAGAATTCTTCTGTCTAGCAGTAAATGAAAAAATCCCGCTTCCAACGAAGTCCTCAAAGGGGTCCAAGTAATCACTTGCAGACTTTACAGACAGAGTCTTTCCAAACTGCTCTATGAAAAGAAAGGTGGAACTCTGTGAGCTGAACGCACACATAACAAAGCAGTTTCTGACAATGATTCTGTGTAGTTTTTACACGAAGATATTTCCATTTCAAAGATTAGCCTCAAATCGCTTGAAATCTCCACTTGCAAATTCCACAGAAAGAGTTTTTCAAAACTGCTCTGTGTAAAGGAAGGTTCAACTCTGTGACTTGAATACACACAACACAAAGAAGTGACTGAGAATTCTTCTGTCTAGCGTTATACGAAGAAATCCCTTTTCCAACAAAGGCCTCAAAGAGGTCCAAATATCCACTTGCAGACTTTACAAACAGAGTGTTTCCAAACTGCTCTATGAAAAGAAAGGTTAAACTCTGTGAGTTGAACGCACACATCACAAAGTAGTTGTTGAGAATGATTCTGTGTAGTTTTTATACGAAGATATTTCCTTTTCTGCCATAGGCCTAGAATCGCTTGAAATCTGCAGTTGCAAATTCCAAAAACAGAGTGTTTCAACTCTGCTCTCTCTAAAGAAAGGTTCAACTCTGTGAGTTGAATACACACAACACAAAGAAGTTACTGAGAATTCTTCTGTCTAGCGTTGTATGAAGAAATCCCGTTTCCAACGAAGGCCTCAAAGAGGTCCAAATATCCACTTGCAGACTTTACAAACAGAGTGTTTCCAAACTGCTCTATGAAAAGAAAGGTTAAACTCTGTGAGTTGAAGGCACACATCACAAATTAGTTTCTACGAATGACTCTGTGTACTTTTAATATGAAGATATTTCCATGTCTAAGATTGGCGTCAAATCGCTTGAAATCTCCACTTGCAAATTCCACAAAAAGTGTTTTTCAAAACTGCTCTGAATAAAGGAAGGTTCCACTCTGTGAGTTGAATACACACAACACAAAGGATTTACTGAGAATTCTTCTGTCTAGCAGTAAATGAGAAATCCCACTTCCAACGAAGGCCTCAAAGGGGTCTAACTAATCACTTGCAGACTTTACAGACAGAGTCTTTCCAAACTGCTCTATGAAGAGAAAGGTGATACTCTGTGAACTGAACGCACAGATGACAAAGCAGTTTCTGAGAATGATTCTGTGTAGTTTTTACACGAAGATATTTCCATTTCAAAGATTAGCCTCAAATCGCTTGAAATCTCCACTTGCAAACTCCACAGAAAGAAATTTTCAAAACTGCTCTGTCTAAAGGAAGGTTCAACTCTGTGACTTGAATACACACAACACAAAGAAGTGACTGAGAATTCTTCTGTCTAGCATTATATGAAGAAATCCCGTTTCCAACGAAGGCCTCAATGAAGTCCAAAAAAGCACTTGCAGGCTTTACAAACAGAGTGTTTCCAAACTGCTCTATGAAAAGAAAGGTTAAACTCTGTGAGTTGAACGCACACATCACAAAGTAGTTGTTGAGAATGATTCTGTGTAGTTTTTATACGAAGATATTTCCTTTTCTGCCATAGGCCTAGAATCGCTTGAAATCTGCAGTTGCAAATTCCAAAAACAGAGTGTTTCAACTCTGCTCTCTCTAAAGAAAGGTTCAACTCTGTGAGTTGAATACACACAACACAAAGAAGTTACTGAGAATTCTTCTGTCTAGCGTTGTATGAAGAAATCCCGTTTCCAACGAAGGCCTCAATGAAGTCCAAAAAAGCACTTGCAGGCTTTACAAACAGAGTGTTTCCAAACTGCTCTATGAAAAGAAAGGTTAAACTCTGTGAGTTGAACACACAAATCACAAAGAGTTTTCTGAGAATGATTTTGTCTACTTTTAATACGAAGATATATCCTTTTCTATCACTGTCTTCGAAGCGTTTGAAATCTACACTAGCAAATTCCACAAAAAGAGTGTTTCACCTCTGCTCCCTCTAAAGAAAGGTTCAACTCTGTGAGTTGAATACACACAACACAAAGAAGTTACTGAGAATTCTTCTGTCTAGCGTTATATGAAGAAATCCCGTTTCCAACGAAGGCCTCAAAGAGGTCCAAATATCCACTTGCAGACTTTACAAATAGAGTGTTTCCCAACTGCTCTATGAAAAGAAAGGTTAAACTCTGTGAGTTGAAGGCACACATCACAAACTAGTTTCTACGAATGACTCTGTGTACTTTTAATACGAAGATGTTTCCATGTCTAAGATTGGCGTGAATTCGCTTGAAATCTCCACTTGCAATTTCCACAAAAAGAGTGTTTCAAAACTGCTCTGAATAAAGGAAGGTTCCACTCTGTGAGTTGAATACACACAACACAAAGGATTTACTGAGAATTCTTCTGTCTAGCAGTAAATGAAAAAATCCCGCTTCCAACGAAGTCCTCAAAGGGGTCCAAGTAATCACTTGCAGACTTTACAGACAGAGTCTTTCCAAACTGCTCTATGAAAAGAAAGGTGGAACTCTGTGAGCTGAACGCACACATAACAAAGCAGTTTCTGACAATGATTCTGTGTAGTTTTTACACGAAGATATTTCCATTTCAAAGATTAGCCTCAAATCGCTTGAAATCTCCACTTGCAAACTCCACAGAAAGAATTTTTCAAAACTGCTCTGTCTAAAGGAAGGTTCAACTCTGTGACTTGAATACACACAACACAAAGAAGTGACTGAGAATTCTTCTGTCTAGCATTATATGAAGAAATCCCGTTTCCAACGAAGGCCTCAATGAAGTCCAAAAAAGCACTTGCAGGCTTTACAAACAGAGTGTTTCCAAACTGCTGTATGAAAAGAAAGGTTAAACTCTGTGAGTTGAACGCACACATCACAAAGTAGTTGTTGAGAATGATTCTGTGTAGTTTTTATACGAAGATATTTCCTTTTCTGCCATAGGCCTAGATTCGCTTGAAATCTGCACTTGCAAATTCCAAAAACAGAGTGTTTCAACTCTGCTCTCTCTAAAGAAAGGTTCAACTCTGTGAGTTGAATACAAACAACACAAAGAAGTTACTGAGAATTCTTCTGTCTAGCGTTGTATGAAGAAATCCCGTTTCCAACGAAGGCCTCAATGAAGTCCAAAAAAGCACTTGCAGGCTTTACAAACAGAGTGTTTCCAAACTGCTCTATGAAAAGAAAGGTTAAACTCTGTGAGTTGAACGCACACATCACAAAGTAGTTGTTGAGAATGATTCTGTGTAGTTTTTATAGGAAGATATTTCCTTTTCTGCCATAGGCCTAGAAGCGCTTTAAATCTGCACTTGCAAATTCCAAAAACAGAGTGTTTCAAATCTGCTCTCTCTAAAGGAAGGTTCAAATCTGTGTGTTGAATACAAACAACACAGAGAAGTTACTGAGAATTCTTCTGTCTAGCGTTATATGAAGAAGATCCCGTTTCCAACGAAGGCCTCAAAGAGGTCCAAATATCCACTTGCAGACTTTACAAATAGAGTGTTTCCAAACTGCTCTATGAAAAGAAAGGTTAAACTCCGTGAGTTGAAGGCACACATCACAAACTAGTTTCTGCGAATGACTCTGTGTACTTTTAATATGAAGAAATTTCCATGTCTAAGATTGGTGTCAAATCGCTTGAAATCTCCACTTGCAAATTCCACAAAAAGTGTTTTTCAAAACTTCTCTGAATAAAGGAAGGTTCAACTCTGTGAGTTGAATACACACAACACAAAGGATTTAATGAGAATTCTTCTGTCTAGCAGTAAATGAAAAAATCCCGCTTCCAACGAAGTCCTCAAAGGGGTCCAAGTAATCACTTGCAGACTTTACAGACAGAGTCTTTCCAAACTGCTCTATGAAAAGAAAGGTGGAACTCTGTGAGCTGAACGCACACATAACAAAGCAGTTTCTGAGAATGATTCTGTGTAGTTTTTACACGAAGATATTTCCATTTCAAAGATTAGCCTCAAATCGCTTGAAATCTCCACTTGCAAATTCCACAGAAAGAGTTTTTCAAAACTGCTCTGTGTAAAGGAAGGTTCAACTCTGTGACTTGAATACACACAACACAAAGAAGTGACTGAGAATTCTTCTGTCTAGCATTATATGAAGAAATCCCCTTTCCAACGAAGGCCTCAATGAAGTCCAAAAAAGCAATTGCAGGCTTTACAAACAGAGTGTTTCCAAACTGCTCTATGAAAAGAAAGGTTAAACTTTGTGAGTTGAACGCACACATCACAAAGTAGTTGTTGAGAATGATTTTGTCTACTTTTAATACGAAGATATATCCTTTTCTATCACTGTCTTCGAAGCGTTTGAAATCTGCACTAGCAAATTCCACAAAAAGAGTGTTTCACCTCTGCTCCCTCTAAAGAAAGGTTCAACTCTGTGAGTTGAATACACACAACACAAAGAAGTTACTGAGAATTCTTCTGTCTAGCGTTATATGAAGAAATCCCGTTTCCAACGAAGGCCTCAAAGAGGTCCAAATATCCACTTGCAGACTTTACAAATAGAGTGTTTCCCAACTGCTCTATGAAAAGAAAGGTTAAACTCTGTGAGTTGAAGGCACACATCACAAACTAGTTTCTACGAATGACTCTGTGTACTTTTAATACGAAGATGTTTCCATGTCTAAGATTGGCGTGAATTCGCTTGAAATCTCCACTTGCAATTTCCACAAAAAGAGTGTTTCAAAACTGCTCTGAATAAAGGAAGGTTCCACTCTGTGAGTTGAATACACACAACACAAAGGATTTACTGAGAATTCTTCTGTCTAGCAGTAAATGAAAAAATCCCGCTTCCAACGAAGTCCTCAAAGGGGTCCAAGTAATCACTTGCAGACTTTACAGACAGAGTCTTTCCAAACTGCTCTATGAAAAGAAAGGTGGAACTCTGTGAGCTGAACGCACACATAACAAAGCAGTTTCTGAGAATGATTCTGTGTAGTTTTTACACGAAGCTATTTCCATTTCAAAGATTAGCCTCAAATCGCTTGAAATCTCCACTTGCAAATTCCACAGAAAGAGTTTTTCAAAACTGCTCTGTGTAAAGGATGGTTCAACTCTGTGACTTGAATACACACAACACAAAGAAGTGACTGAGAATTCTTCTGTCTAGCATTATATGAGGAAATCCCGTTTCCAACGAAGGGCTCATAGAGGGACAATTATCCAGCTGCAGACTTACAAAGAGTGTATTTCCAAACTGCTCGATTAAAGAAAGGTTAAACTCTGTGAGTTGAACACACACATCACAAAGTGTTTTCTGAGAATGATTTTGTCTAGTTTTAATACGAAGATATATCCTTTTCTATCACTGTCTTCGAAGCGTTTGAAATCTGCACTAGCAAATTCCACAAACAGAGTGTTTCAACTCTGCTCTCTCTCAAGAAAGGTTCAACTCTGTGAGTGGAATACACACAACACAAAGAAGTTACTGAGAATTCTTCTGTCTAGCGTTATACGAAGAAATCCCGTTTCCAACGAAGGCCTCAAAGAGGTCCAAATATCCACTTGCAGACTTTACAAATAGAGTGTTTCCAAACTGCTCTATGAAAAGAAAGGTTAAACTCTGTGAGTTGAAGGCACACATCACAAACTAGTTTCTGCGAATGACTCTGTGTACTTTTAATACGAAGATGTTTCCATGTCTAAGATGGGCGTGAATTCGCTTGAAATCTCCACTTGCAAATTCCACAAAAAGAGTGTTTCAAAACTGCTCTGAATAAAGGAAGGTTCCACTCTGTGAGTTGAATACACACAACACAAAGGATTTACTGAGAATTCTTCTGTCTAGCAGTAAATGGGAAATCCCGCTTCCAACGAAGGCCTCAAAGGGGTCTAACTAATCACTTGCGGACTTTACAGACAGAGTCTTTCCAAACTGCTCTATGAAGAGAAAGGTTAAACTCTGTGAACTGAACGCACAGATAACAAAGCAGTTTCTGAGAATGATTTCTGTGTAGTTTTTACACGAAGCTATTTCCATTTCAAAGATTAGCCTCAAATCGCTTGAAATCTCCACTTGCAAATTCCACAGAAAGAGTTTTTCAAAACTGCTCTGTGTAAAGGAAGGTTCAACTCTGTGACTTGAATACACACAACACAAAGAAGTGACTGAGAATTCTTCTGTCTAGCATTATATGAAGAAATCCCGTTTCCAACGAAGGCCTCAAAGAAGTCCAAAGAAGCACCTGCAGACTTTACAAACAGAGTGTTTCCAAACTGCTCTATGAAAAGAAAGGTTAAACTCTGTGAGTTGAACGCACACATCACAAAGTAGTTGTTGAGAATGATTTTGTCTAGTTTTAATACGAAGATATATCCTTTTCTATCACTGTCTTCGAAGCGTTTGAAATCTGCACTAGCAAATTCCACAAACAGAGTGTTTCCACTCTGCTCTCTCTCAAGAAAGGTTCAACTCTGTGAGTGGAATACACACAACACAAAGAAGTTACAGAGAATTCTTCTGTCTAGCGTTATATGAAGAAATCCCGTTTCCAACGAAGGCCTCAAAGAGGTCCAAATATCCACTTGCAGACTTTACAAATAGAGTGTTTCCAAACTGCTCTATGAAAAGAAAGGTTAAACTCCGTGAGTTGAAGGCACACATCACAAACTAGTTTCTGCGAATGACTCTGTGTACTTTTAATACGAAGATGTTTCCATGTCTAAGATTGGCGTGAATTCGCTTGAAATCTCCACTTGCAAATTCCACAAAAAGAGTGTTTCAAAACTGCTCTGAATAAAGGAAGGTTCCACTCTGTGAGTTGAATACAAACAACACAAAGGATTTACTGAGAATTCTTCTGTCTAGCAGTAAATGAAAAAATCCCGCTTCCAACGAAGTCCTCAAAGGGGTCCAAGTAATCACTTGCAGACTTTACAGACAGAGTCTTTCCAAACTGCTCTATGAAAAGAAAGGTGGAACTCTGTGAGCTGAACGCACACATAACAAGGCAGTTTCTGAGAATGATTCTGTGTAGTTTTTACACGAAGATATTTCCATTTCAAAGATTAGCCTCAAATCGCTTGAAACCTCCACTTGCAAACTCCACAGAAAGAATTTTTCAAAACTGCTCTGTCTAAAGGAAGGTTCAACTCTGTGACTTGAATACACACAACACAAACAAGTGACTGAGAATTCTTCTGTCTAGCATTATAAGAGGAAATCCCGTTTCCAACGAAGGGCTCATAGAGGGACAATTATCCAGCTGCAGACTTACAAAGAGTGTATTTCCAAACTGCTCGATTAAAGAAAGGTTAAACTCTGTGAGTTAAACACACACATCACAAAGTGTTTTCTGAGAATGATTTTGTCTAGTTTTAATACGAAGATATATCCTTTTCTATCACTGTCTTCGAAGCGTTTGAAATCTGCACTAGCAAATTCCACAAACAGAGTGTTTCAACTCTGCTCTCTCTCAAGAAAGGTTCAACTCTGTGAGTGGAATACACACAACACAAAGAAGTTACTGAGAATTCTTCTGTCTAGCGTTATATGAAGAAATCCCGTTTCCAACGAAGGCCTCAAAGAGGTCCAAATATCCACTTGCAGACTTTACAAATAGAGTGTTTCCAAACTGCTCTATGAAAAGAAAGGTTAAACTCCGTGAGTTGAAGGCACACATCACAAACTAGTTTCTGCGAATGACTCTGTGTACTTTTAATACGAAGATGTTTCCACGTCTAAGATTGGCGTGAATTCGCTTGAAATCTCCACTTGCAATTTCCACAAAAAGAGTGTTTCAAAAGTGCTCTGAATAAAGGAAGGTTCCACTCTGTGAGTTGAATACACACAACACAAAGGATTTACTGAGAATTCTTCTGTCTAGCAGTAAATGAAAAAATCCCGCTTCCAACGAAGTCCTCAAAGGGGTCCAAGTAATCACTTGCAGACTTTACAGACAGAGTCTTTCCAAACTGCTCTATGAAAAGAAAGGTGGAACTCTGTGAGCTGAACGCACACATAACAAAGCAGTTTCTGACAATGATTCTGTGTAGTTTTTACACGAAGATATTTCCATTTCAAAGATTAGCCTCAAATCGCTTGAAATCTCCACTTGCAAACTCCACAGAAAGAATTTTTCAAAACTGCTCTGTCTAAAGGAAGGTTCAACTCTGTGACTTGAATACACACAACACAAAGAAGTGACTGAGAATTCTTCTGTCTAGCATTATAAGAGGAAATCCCGTTTCCAACGAAGGGCTCATAGAGGGACAATTATCCAGCTGCAGACTTACAAAGAGTGTATTTCCAAACTGCTCGATTAAAGAAAGGTTAAACTCTGTGAGTTGAACACACACATCACAAAGTGTTTTCTGAGAATGATTTTGTCTAGTTTTAATACGAAGATATATCCTTTTCTATCACTGTCTTCGAAGCGTTTGAAATCTGCACTAGCAAATTACACAAACAGAGTGTTTCCACTCTGCTCTCTCTCAAGAAAGGTTCAACTCTGTGAGTGGAATACACACAACACAAAGAAGTTACTGAGAATTCTTCTGTCTAGCGTTATATGAAGAAATCCCGTTTCCAACGAAGGCCTCAAAGAGGTCCAAATATCCACTTGCAGACTTTACAAATAGAGTGTTTCCAAACTGCTCTATGAAAAGAAAGGTTAAACTCCGTGAGTTGAAGGCACACATCACAAACTAGTTTCTGCGAATGACTCTGTGTACTTTTAATACGAAGATGTTTCCATGTCTAAGATTGGCGTGAATTCGCTTGAAATCTCCACTTGCAAATTCCACAAAAAGAGTGTTTCAAAACTGCTCTGAATAAAGGAAGGTTCCACTCTGTGAGTTGAATACACACAACACAAAGGATTTACTGAGAATTCTTCTGTCTAGCAGTAAATGAAAAAATCCCGCTTCCAACGAAGTCCTCAAAGGGGTCCAAGTAATCACTTGCAGACTTTACAGACAGAGTCTTTCCAAACTGCTCTATGAAAAGAAAGGTGGAACTCTGTGAGCTGAACGCACACATAACAAAGCAGTTTCTGACAATGATTCTGTGTAGTTTTTACACGAAGATATTTCCATTTCAAAGATTAGCCTCAAATCGCTTGAAATCTCCACTTGCAAACTCCACAGAAAGAATTTTTCAAAACTGCTCTGTCTAAAGGAAGGTTCAACTCTGTGACTTGAACACACACAACACAAAGAAGTGACTGAGAATTCTTCTGTCTAGCATTATATGAAGAAATCTCGTTTCCAACGAAGGCCTCAATGAAGTCCAAAAAAGCACTTGCAGGCTTTACAAACAGAGTGTTTCCAAACTGCTCTCTGAAAAGAAAGGTTAACCTCTGTGAGTTGAACGCAATCATCACAAAGTAGTTGTTGAGAATGATTCTGTGTAGTTTTTATACGAAGATATTTCCTTTTCTGCCATAGGCCTAGAAGCGCTTGAAATCTGCACTTGCAAATTCCAAAAACAGAGTGTTTCAAATCTGCTCTCTCTAAAGGAAGGTTCAAATCTGTGTGTTGAATACAAACAACACAAAGAAGTTACTGAGAATTCTTCTGTCTAGCAGTAAATGAGAAATCCCGCTTCCAACGAAGGCCTCAAAGGGGTCTAACTAATCACTTGCAGACTTTACAGACAGAGTCTTTCCAAACTGCTCTATGAAGAGAAAGGTGAAACTCTGTGAACTGAACGCACAGATGACAAAGCAGTTTCTGAGAATGATCTGTGTAGTTTTTACACGAAGATATTTCCATTTCAAAGATTAGCCTCAAATCGCTTGAAATCTCCACTTGCAAATTACACAGAAAGAATTTTTCAAAACTGCTCTGTCTAAAGGAAGGTTCAACTCTGTGACTTGAATACACACAACACAAAGAAGTGACTGAGAATCTTCTCTGTCTAGCATTATATGAAGAATCCCGTTTCCAACGAAGGCCTCAATGAAGTCCAAAAACGCACTTGCAGGCTTTACAAACAGAGTGTTTCCAAACTGCTCTATGAAAAGAAAGGTTAAACTCTGTGAGTTGAACGCACACATCACAAAGTAGTTGTTGAGAATGATTCTGTGTAGTTTTTATACGAAGATATTTCCTTTTCTGCCATAGGCCTAGAATCGCTTGAAATCTGCACTTGCAAATTCCAAAAACAGAGTGTTTCAACTCGGCTCTCTCTAAAGAAAGGTTCAACTCTGTGAGTTGAATACACACAACACAAAGAAGTTACTGAGAATTCTTCTGTCTAGCATTATAAGAGGAAATCCCGTTTCCAAAGAAGGGCTCAAAGAGGGCCAAATATCCACCTGCAGACTTACAAAGAGTGTATTTCCAAACTGCTCGATTAAAGAAAGGTTAAACTCTGTGAGTTGAACACACACATCACAAAGAGTTTTCTGACAATGATTTTGTCTACTTTTAATACGAAGATATCTCCTTTTCTATCACTGTCTTCGAAGCGTTTGAAATCTACACTAGCAAATTCCACAAAAAGAGTGTTTCACCTCTGCTCCCTCTAAAGAAAGGTTCAACTCTGTGAGTTGAATACACTCAACACAAAGAAGTTACTGAGAATTCTTCTGTCTAGCGTTATATGAAGAAATCCCGTTTCCAACGAAGGCCTCAAAGAGGTCCAAATATCCACTTGCAGACTTTACAAATAGAGTGTTTCCCAACTGCTCTATGAAAAGAAAGGTTAAACTCTGCGAGTTGAAGGCACACATCACAAACTAGTTTCTACGAATGACTCTGTGTACTTTTAATACGAAGATGTTTCCATGTCTAAGATTGGCGTGAATTCGCTTGAAATCTCCACTTGCAAATTCCACAAAAAGAGTGTTTCAAAACTGCTCTGAATAAAGGAAGGTTCCACTCTGTGAGTTGAATACACACAACACAAAGGATTTACTGAGAATTCTTCTGTCTAGCAGTAAATGAGAAATCCCGCTTCCAACGAAGGCCTCAAAGGGGTCTAACTAATCACTTGCAGACTTTACAGACAGAGTCTTTCCAAACTGCTCTATGAAGAGAAAGGTGAAACTCTGTGAACTGAACGCACAGATGACAAAGCAGTTTCTGAGAATGATTCTGTGTAGTTTTTACACGAAGATATTTCCATTTCAAAGATTAGCCTCAAATCGCTTGAAATCTCCACTTGCAAACTCCACAGAAAGAATTTTTCAAAACTGCTCTGTCTAAAGGAAGGTTCAACTCTGTGACTTGAATACACACAACACAAAGAAGTGACTGAGAATTCTTCTGTCTAGCATTATATGAAGAAATCCCGTTTCCAACGAAGGCCTCAATGAAGTCCAAAAAAGCACTTGCAGGCTTTACAAACAGAGTGTTTCCAAACTGCTCTATGAAAAGAAAGGTTAAACTCTGTGAGTTGAACGCACACATCACAAAGTAGCTGTTGAGAATGATTCTGTGTAGTTTTTATACGAAGATATTTCCTTTTCTGCCATAGGCCTAGAAGCGCTTGAAATTTGCACTTGCAAATTCCAAAAACAGAGTGTTTCAAATCTGCTCTCTCTAAAGGAAGGTTCAAATCTGTGTGTTGAATACAAACAACACAAAGAAGTTACTGAGAATTCTTCTGTCTAGCATTATATGAGGAAATCCCGTTTCCAACGAAGGGCTCAAAGAGGGCCAAATATCCACCTGCAGACTTACAAAGAGTGTATTTCCAAACTGCTCGATTAAAGAAAGGTTAAACTCTGTGAGTTGAACACACACATCACAAAGAGTTTTCTGAGAATGATTTTGTCTACTTTTAATACGAAGATATATCCTTTTCTATCACTGTCTTCGAAGCGTTTGAAATCTACACCAGCAAATTCCACAAAAAGAGTGTTTCACCTCTGCTCCCTCTAAAGAAAGGTTCAACTCTGTGAGTTGAATACACACAACACAAAGAAGTTACTGAGAATTCTTCTGTCTAGCGTTATATGAAGAAATCCCGTTTCCAACGAAGGCCTCAAAGAGGTCCAAATATCCACTTGCAGACTTTACAAATAGAGTGTTTCCCAACTGCTCTATGAAAAGAAAGGTTAAACTCTGTGAGTTGAAGGCACACATCACAAACTAGTTTCTACGAATGACTCTGTGTACTTTTAATATGAAGATATTTCCATGTCTAAGATTGGCGTCAAATCGCTTGAAATCTCCACTTGCAAATTCCACAAAAAGAGTGTTTCAAAACTGCTCTGAATAAAGGAAGGTTCCACTCTGTGAGTTGAATACACACAACACAAAGGATTTACTGAGAATTCTTCTGTCTAGCAGTAAATGAGAAATCCCGCTTCCAACGAAGGCCTTAAAGGGGTCTAACTAATCACTTGCAGACTTTACAGACAGAGTCTTTCCAAACTGCTCTATGAAGAGAAAGGTGAAACTCTGTGAACTGAACGCACAGATGACAAAGCAGTTTCTGAGAATGATTCTGTGTAGTTTTTACACGAAGATATTTCCATTTCAAAGATTAGCCTCAAATCGCTTGAAATCTCCACTTGCAAATTCCACAGAAAGAGTTTTTCAAAACTGCTCTGTGTAAAGGAAGGTTCAACTCTGTGAGTTGAATACACACAACACAAAGAAGTGACTGAGAATTCTTCTGTCTAGCATTATATGAAGAAATCCCGTTTCCAACGAAGGCCTCAAAGAAGTCCAAATAAGCACCTGCAGACTTTACAAACAGAGTGTTTCCAAACTGCTCTATGAAAAGAAAGGTTAAACTCTGTGAGTTGAACGCACACATCACAAACTAGTTTCTGCGAATGACTCTGTGTAGTTTTTATACGAAGATATTTCCTTTTCTGCCATAGGCCTAGAAGCGCTTGAAATCTGCACTTGCAAATTCCAAAAACAGAGTGTTTCAAATCTGCTCTCTCTAAAGGAAGGTTCAAATCTGTGAGTTGAATACAAACAACACAAACAAGTTACTGAGAATTCTTCTGTCTAGCATTATATGAGGAAATCCCGTTTCCAACGAAGGGCTCAAAGAGGGCCAATTATCCACCTGCAGACTTACAAAGAGTGTATTTCCAAACTGCTCGATTAAAGAAAGGTTAAACTCTGTGAGTTGAACACACACATCACAAAATGTTTTCTGAGAATGATTCTGTGTACTTTTAATACGAAGATGTTTCCATGTCTAAGATTGGCGTGAATTCGCTTGAAATCTCCACTTGCAAATTCCACAAAAAGAGTGTTTCAAAACTGCTCTGAATAAAGGAAGGTTCCACTCTGTGAGTTGAATACACACAACACAAAGGATTTACTGAGAATTCTTCTGTCTAGCAGTAAATGAGAAATCCCGCTTCCAACGAAGGCCTCAAAGGGGTCTAACTAATCACTTGCAGACTTTACAGACAGAGTCTTTCCAAACTGCTCTATGAAGAGAAAGGTGAAACTCTGTGAACTGAACGCACAGATGACAAAGCAGTTTCTGAGAATGATTCTGTGTAGTTTTTACACGAAGATATTTCCATTTCAAAGATTAGCCTCAAATCGCTTGAAATCTCCACTTGCAAATTACACAGAAAGAACTTTTCAAAACTGCTCTGTCTAAAGGAAGGTTCAACTCTGTGACTTGAATACACACAACACAAAGAAGTGACTGAGAATTCTTCTGTCTAGCATTATATGAAGAAATCCCGTTTCCAACGAAGGCCTCAATGAAGTCCAAAAAAGCACTTGCAGGCTTTACAAACAGAGTGTTTCCAAACTGCTCTATGAAAAGAAAGGTTAAACTCTGTGAGTTGAACGCACACATCACAAAGTAGTTGTTGAGAATGATTCTGTGTAGTTTTTATACGAAGATATTTCCTTTTCTGCCATAGGCCTAGAAGCGCTTGTAATCTGCACTTGCAAATTCCAAAAACAGAGTGTTTCAAATCTGCTCTCTCTAAAGGAAGGTTCAAATCTGTGAGTTGAATACAAACAACACAAAGAAGTTACTGAGAATTCTTCTGTCTAGCGTTATATGAAGAAATCCCGTTTCCAACGAAGGCCTCAAAGAGGTCCAAATATCCACTTGCAGACTTTACAAATAGAGTGTTTCCAAACTGCTCTATGAAAAGAAAGCTTAAACTCTGTGAGTTGAAGGCACACATCACAAACTAGTTTCTGCGAATGACTCTGTGTACTTTTAATACGAAGATGTTTCCATGTCTAAGATTGGCGTGAATTCGCTTGAAATCTCCACCTGCAAATTCCACAAAAAGAGTGTTTCAAAAGTGCTCTGAATAAAGGAAGGTTCCACTCTGTGAGTTGAATACACACAACACAAAGGATTTACTGAGAATTCTTCTGTCTAGCAGTAAATGAAAAAATCCCGCTTCCAACGAAGTCCTCAAAGGGGTCCAAGTAATCACTTGCAGACTTTACAGACAGAGTCTTTCCAAACTGCTCTATGAAAAGAAAGGTGGAACTCTGTGAGCTGAACGCACACATAACAAAGCAGTTTCTGAGAATGATTCTGTGTAGTTTTTACACGAAGATATTTCCATTTCAAAGATTAGCCTCAAATCGCTTGAAATCTCCACTTGCAAATTACACAGAAAGAATTTTTCAAAACTGCTCTGTCTAAAGGAAGGTTCAACTCTGTGACTTGAATACACACAACACAAAGAAGTGACTGAGAATTCTTCTGTCTAGCATTATAAGAGGAAATCCCGTTTCCAACGAAGGGCTCATAGAGGGACAATTATCCAGCTGCAGACTTACAAAGAGTGTATTTCCAAACTGCTCGATTAAAGAAAGGTTAAACTCTGTGAGTTGAACACACACATCACAAAGTGTTTTCTGAGAATGATTTTGTCTAGTTTTAATACGAAGATATATCCTTTTCTATCACTGTCTTCGAAGCGTTTGAAATCTGCACTAGCAAATTCCACAAACAGAGTGTTTCAACTCTGCTCTCTCTCAAGAAAGGTTCAACTCTGTGAGTTGAATACACACAACACAAAGAAGTTACTGAGAATTCTTCTGTCTAGCGTTATATGAAGAAATCCCGTTTCCAACGAAGGCCTCAAAGAGGTCCAAATATCCACTTACAGACTTTACAGATAGAGTGTTTCCAAACTGCTCTATGAAAAGAAAGGTTAAACTCCGTGAGTTGAAGGCACACATCACAAACTAGTTTCTGCGAATGACTCTGTGTACTTTTAATACGAAGATGTTTCCATGTCTAAGATTGGCGTGAATTCGCTTGAAATCTCCACTTGCAAATTCCACAAAAAGAGTGTTTCAAAAGTGCTCTGAATAAAGGAAGGTTCCACTCTGTGAGTTGAATACACACAACACAAAGGATTTACTGAGAATTCTTCTGTCTAGCAGTAAATGAAAAAATCCCGCTTCCAACGAAGTCCTCAAAGGGGTCCAAGTAATCACTTGCAGACTTTACAGACAGAGTCTTTCCAAACTGCTCTATGAAAAGAAAGGTGGAACTCTGTGAGCTGAACGCACACATAACAAAGCAGTTTCTGACAATGATTCTGTGTAGTTTTTACACGAAGATATTTCCATTTCAAAGATTAGCCTCAAATCGCTTGAAATCTCCACTTGCAAATTCCACAGAAAAAATTTTTCAAAACTGCTCTGTCTAAAAGAAGGTTCAACTCTGTGACTTGAATACACACAACACAAAGAAGTGACTGAGAATTCTTCTGTCTAGCATTATATGAAGAAATCCCGTTTCCAACGAAGGCCTCAATGAAGTCCAAAAAAGCACTTGCAGGCTTTACAAACAGAGTGTTTCCAAACTGCTCTATGAAAAGAAAGGTTAAACTCTGTGAGTTGAACGCACACATCACAAAGTAGTTGTTGAGAATGATTCTGTGTAGTTTTTATACGAAGATATTTCCTTTTCTGCCATAGGCCTAGAAGCGCTTGCAATCTGCACTTGCAAATTCCAAAAACAGAGTGTTTCATATCTGCTCTCTCCAAAGGAAGGTTCAAATCTGTGAGTTGAATACAAACAACACAAAGAAGTTACTGAGAATTCTTCTGTCTAGCATTATAAGAGGAAATCCCGTTTCCAACGAAGGGCTCATAGAGGGACAATTATCCAGCTGCAGACTTACAAAGAGTGTATTTCCAAACTGCTCGATTAAAGAAAGGTTAAACTCTGTGAGTTGAACACACACATCACAAAGTGTTTTCTGAGAATGATTTTGTCTAGTTTTAATACGAAGATATATCCTTTTCTATCACTGTCTTCGAAGCGTTTGAAATCTGCACTAGCAAATTCCACAAACAGAGTGTTTCAACTCTGCTCTCTCTCAAGAAAGGTTCAACTCTGTGAGTGGAATACACACAACACAAAGAAGTTACTGAGAATTCTTCTGTCTAGCATTATATGAAGAAATCCCGTTTCCAACGAAGGCCTCAAAGAGGTCCAAATATCCACTTGCAGACTTTACAAATAGAGTGTTTCCAAACTGCTCTATGAAAAGAAAGGTTAAACTCTGTGAGTTGAAGGCACACATCACAAACTAGTTTCTGCGAATGACTCTGTGTACTTTTAATACGAAGATGTTTCCATGTCTAAGATTGGCGTGAATTCGCTTGAAATCTCCACTTGCAAATTCCACAAAAAGAGTGTTTCAAAACTGCTCTGAATAAAGGAAGGTTCCACTCTGTGAGTTGAATACACACAACACAAAGGATTTACTGAGAATTCTTCTGTCTAGCAGTAAATGAAAAAATCCCGCTTCCAATGAAGTCCTCAAAGGGGTCCAAGTAATCACTTGCAGACTTTACAGAGTCTTTCCAAACTGCTCTATGAAAAGAAAGGTGGAACTCTGTGAGCTGAACGCACACATAACAAAGCAGTTTCTGACAATGATTCTGTGTAGTTTTTACACGAAGATATTTCCATTTCAAAGATTAGCCTCAAATCGCTTGAAATCTCCACTTGCAAATTCCACAAAAAGAGTTTTTCAAAACTGCTCTGTGTAAAGGAAGGTTCAACTCTGTGACTTGAATACACACAACACAAAGAAGTGACTGAGAATTCTGCTGTCTAGCATTATATGAAGAAATCCCGTTTCCAACGAAGGCTTCAAAGAAGTCCAAATAAGCACCTGCAGACTTTACAAACAGAGTGTTTCCAAACTGCTCTATGAAAAGAAAGGTTAAACTCTGTGAGTTGAACGCACACATCACAAAGTAGTTGTTGAGAATGATTCTGTGTAGTTTTTATACGAAGATATTTCCTTTTCTGCCATAGGCCTAGAAGCGCTTGAAATCTGCACTTGCAATTTCCAAAAACAGAGTGTTTCAAATCTGCTCCCTCTAAAGGAAGGTTCAAATCTGTGAGTTGAATACAAACAACACAAAGAAGTTACTGAGAATTCTTCTGTCTAGCATTATATGAGGAAATCCCGTTTCCAACGAAGGGCTCATAGAGGGACAATTATCCACCTGCAGACTTACAAAGAGTGTATTTCCAAACTGCTCGATTAAAGAAAGGTTAAATTCTGTGAGTTGAACACACACATCACAAAGTGTTTTCTGAGAATGATTTTGTCTAGTTTTAATACGAAGATATATCCTTTTCTATCACTGTCTTCGAAGCGTTTGAAATCTGCACTAGCAAATTCCACAAAAAGAGTGTTTCCACTCTGCTCTCTCTCAAGAAAGGTTCAACTCTGTGAGTTGAATACACACAACACAAAGAAGTTACTGAGAATTCTTCTGTCTAGCGTTATATGAAGAAATCCCGTTTCCAACGAAGGCCTCAAAGAGGTCCAAATATCTACTTGCAGACTTTAGAAATAGAGTGTTTCTAAACTGCTCTATGAAAAGAAAGGTTAAACTCTGTGAGTTGAAGGCACACTTCACAAACTAGTTTCTAAGAATGACTCTGTGTACTTTTAATATGAAGATATTTCCACGTCTAAGATTGGCGTCAAATCGCTTGAAATCTGCACTTGCAAATTCCACAAAAAGTGTTTTTCAAAACTTCTCTGAATAAAGGAAGGCTCAACTCTGTGAGTTGAATACACACAACACCAAGGATTTACTGAGAATTCTTCTGTCTAGCAGTAAATGAGAAATCCCGCTTCCAACGAAGGCCTCAAAGGGGTCTAACTAATCACTTGCAGACTTTACAGACAGAGTCTTTCCAAACTGCTCTATGAAGAGAAAAGTGAAACTCTGTGAACTGAACGCACAGATAACAAAGCAGTTTCTGAGAATGATTCTGTGCAGTTTTTACACGAAGATATTTCCATTTCAAAGATTAGCCTGAAATCGCTTGAAATCTCCACTTGCAAATTCCACAGAAAGAGTTTTTCAAAACTGCTCTGTGTAAAGGAAGGTTCAACTCTGTGACTTGAATACACACAACACAAAGAAGTGACTGAGAATTCTTCTGTCTAGCATTATATGAAGAAATCCCGTTTCCAACGAAGGCCTCAAAGAAGTCCAAATAAGCACCTGCAGACTTTACAAACAGAGTGTTTCCAAACTGCTCTATGAAAAGAAAGGTTAAACTCTGTGAGTTGAAAGCACACATCACAAAGTAGTTGTTGAGAATGATTCTGTGTAGTTTTTACACGAAGATATTTCCTTTTCTGCCATAGGCCTAGAAGCGCTTGTAATCTGCACTTACAATTTCCAAAAACAGAGTGTTTCAAATCTCCTCTCTCTAAAGGAAAGTTCAAATCTGTGAGTTGAATACAAACAACACAAAGAAGTTACTGAGAATTCTTCTGTCTAGTGTTGTATGAAGAAATCCCGTTTCCAACGAAGGCCTCAAAGAGGTCCAAATATCCACTTGCAGACTTTACAAATAGAGTGTTTCCAAACTGCTCTATGAAAAGAAAGGTTAAACTCTGTGATTTGAAGGCACACATCACAAACTAGTTTCTACGAATGACTCTGTGTACTTTTAATATGAAGATATTTCCATGTCTAAGATTGGCGTCAAATCGCTTGAAATCTCCACTTGCAAATTCCACAAAAAGAGTGTTTCAAAACTGCTCTGAATAAAGGAAGGTTCCACTCTGTGAGTTGAATACACACAACACAAAGGATTTACTGAGAATTCTTCTGTCTAGCAGTAAATGAGAAATCCCGCTTCCAACGAAGGCCTCAAAGGGGTCTAACTAATCACTTGCAGACTTTACAGACAGAGTCTTTCCAAACTGCTCTATGAAGAGAAAGGTGAAACTCTGTGAACTGAACGCACAGATGACAAAGCAGTTTCTGAGAATGATTCTGTGTAGTTTTTACACGAAGATATTTCCATTTCAAAGATTAGCCTCAAATCGCTTGAAATCTCCACTTGCAAATTACACAGAAAGAACTTTTCAAAACTGCTCTGTCTAAAGGAAGGTTCAACTCTGTGACTTGAATACACACAACACAAAGAAGTGACTGAGAATTCTTCTGTCTAGCATTATATGAGGAAATCCCGTTTCCAACGAAGGACTCAAAGAGGGCCAAATATCCACCTGCAGACTTACAAAGAGTGTATTTCCAAACTGCTCGATTAAAGAAAGGTTAAACTCTGTGAGTTGAACACACACATCACAAAGAGTTTTCTGAGAATGATTTTGTCTACTTTTAATACGAAGATATATCCTTTTCTATCACTGTCTTCGAAGCGTTTGAAATCTACACTAGCAAATTCCACAAAAAGAGTGTTTCACCTCTGCTCCCTCTAAAGAAAGGTTCAACTCTGTGAGTTGAATACACACAACACAAAGAAGTTACTGAGAATTCTTCTGTCTAGCATTATATGAGGAAATCCCGTTTCCAACGAAGGGCTCAAAGAGGGACAATTATCCACCTGCAGACTTACAAAGAGTGTATTTCCAAACTGCTCGATTAAAGAAAGGTTAAACTCTGTGAGTTGAACACACACATCACAAAGAGTTTTCTGAGAATGATTCTGTGTACTTTTAATATGAAGATATTTCCATGTCTAAGATTGGCGTGAAATCGCTTGAAATCTCCACTTGCAAATTCCACAAAAAGTGTTTTTCAAAACTGCTCTGAATAAAGGAAGGTTCAACTCTGTGAGTGGAATACACACAACACAAAGGATTTACTGAGAATTCTTCTGTCTAGCAGTAAATGAGAAATCCCGCTTCCAACGAAGGCCTCAAAGGGGTCTAACTAATCACTTGCAGACTTTACAGACAGAGTCTTTCCAAACTGCTCTATGAAGAGAAAGGTGAAACTCTGTGAACTGAACGCACAGATGACAAAGCAGTTTCTGAGAATGATTCTGTGTAGTTTTTACACGAAGATATTTCCATTTCAAAGATTAGCCTCAAATCGCTTGAAATCTCCACTTGCAAACTCCACAGAAAGAATTTTTCAAAACTGCTCTGTCTAAAGGAAGGTTCAACTCTGTGACTTGAATACACACAACACAAAGAAGTGACTGAGAATTCTTCTGTCTAGCATTATATGAAGAAATCCCGTTTCCAACGAAGGCCTCAATGAAGTCCATAAAAGCACTTGCAGGATTTACAAACAGAGTGTTTCCAAACTGCTCTATGAAAAGAAAGGTTAAACTCTGTGAGTTGAACGCACACATCACAAAGTAGTTGTTGAGAATGATTCTGTGTAGTTTTTATACGAAGATATTTCCTTTTCTGCCATAGGCCTAGAAGCGCTTGAAATCTGCACTTGCAAATTCCAAAAACAGAGTGTTTCAAATCTGCTCTCTCTAAAGGAAGGTTCAAATCTGTGTGTTGAATACAAACAACACAAAGAAGTTACTGAGAATTCTTCTGTCTAGCATTATATGAGGAAATCCCGTTTCCAACGAAGGGCTCAAAGAGGGACAAATATCCACCTGCAGACTTACAAAGAGTGTATTTCCAAACTGCTCGATTAAAGAAAGGTTAAACTCTGTGAGTTGAACACACACATCACAAAGAGTTTTCTGAGAATGATTTTGTCTACTTTTAATACGAAGATATATCCTTTTCTATCACTGTCTTCGAAGCGTTTGAAATCTACACTAGCAAATTCCACAAAAAGAGTGTTTCACCTCTGCTCCCTCTAAAGAAAGGTTCAACTCTGTGAGTTGAATACACACAACACAAAGAAGTTACTGAGAATTCTTCTGTCTAGCGTTGTATGAAGAAATCCCGTTTCCAACGAAGGCCTCAATGAAGTCCAAAAAAGCACTTGCAGGCTTTACAAACAGAGTGTTTCCAAACTGCTCTATGAAAAGAAAGGTTAAACTCTGTGAGTTGAACGCACACATCACAAAGTAGTTGTTGAGAATGATTCTGTGTAGTTTTTATACGAAGATATTTCCTTTTCTGCCATAGGCCTAGAAGGGCTTGTAATCTGCACTTGCAAATTCCAAAAACAGAGTGTTTCAAATCTGCTCTCTCTAAAGGAAGGTTCAAATCTGTGAGTTGAATACAAACAACACAAAGAAGTTACTGAGAATTCTTCTGTCTAGCATTATAAGAGGAAATCCCGTTTCCAACGAAGGGCTCATAGAGGGACAATTATCCAGCTGCAGACTTACAAAGAGTGTATTTCCAAACTGCTCGATTAAAGAAAGGTTAAACTCTGTGAGTTGAACACACACATCACAAAGTGTTTTCTGAGAATGATTTTGTCTAGTTTTAATACGAAGATATATCCTTTTCTATCACTGTCTTCGAAGCGTTTGAAATCTGCACTAGCAAATTCCACAAACAGAGTGTTTCCACTCTGCTCTCTCTCAAGAAAGGTTCAACTCTGTGAGTGGAATACACACAACACAAAGAAGTTACTGAGAATTCTTCTGTCTAGCGTTACATGAAGAAATCCCGTTTCCAACGAAGGCCTCAAAGAGGTCCAAATATCCACTTGCAGACTTTACAAATAGAGTGTTTCCAAAATGCTCTATGAAAAGAAAGGTTAAACTCTGTGAGTTGAAGGCACACATCACAAACTAGTTTCTGCGAATGACTCTGTGTACTTTTAATACGAAGATGTTTCCATGTCTAAGATTGGCGTGAATTCGCTTGAAATCTCCACTTGCAAATTCCACAAAAAGAGTGTTTCAAAACTGCTCTGAATAAAGGAAGGTTCCACTCTGTGAGTTGAATACACACAACACAAAGGATTTACTGAGAGTTCTTCTGTCTAGCAGTAAATGAAAAAATCCCGCTTCCAACGAAGTCCTCAAAGGGGTCCAAGTAATCACTTGCAGACTTTACAGACGGAGTCTTTCCAAACTGCTCTATGAAAAGAAACGTGGAACTCTGTGAGCTGAACGCACACATAACAAAGCAGTTTCTGAGAATGATTCTGTGTAGTTTTGACACGAAGATATTTCCATTTCAAAGATTAGCCTCAAATCGCTTGAAATCTCCACTTGCAAATTCCACAGAAAGAATTTTTCAAAACTGCTCTGTCTAAAAGAAGGTTCAACTCTGTGACTTGAATACACACAACACAAAGAAGTGACTGAGAATTCTTCTGTCTAGCATTATATGAAGAAATCCCGTTTCCAACGAAGGCCTCAATGAAGTCCAAAAAAGCACTTGCAGGCTTTACAAACAGAGTGTTTCCAAACTGCTCTATGAAAAGAAAGGTTAAACTCTGTGAGTTGAACGCACACATCACAAAGTAGTTGTTGAGAATGATTTTGTCTAGTTTTAATACGAAGATATATCCTTTTCTATCACTGTACTTCGAAGCGTTTGAAATCTGCACTAGCAAATTCCACAAACAGAGTGTTTCAACTCTGCTCTCTCTCAAGAAAGGTTCAACTCTGTGAGTTGAATACACACAACACAAAGAAGTTACTGAGAATTCTTCTGTCTAGCGTTTTATGAAGAAATCCCGTTTCCAACGAAGGCCTCAAAGAGGTCCAAATATCCACTTGCAGACGTTACAAACAGAGTGTTTCCAAACTGCTCTATGAAAAGAAAAGTTAAACTCTGTGAGTTGAAGGCACACATCACAAACTAGTTTCTGCGAATGACTCTGTGTACTTTTAATATGAAGATTTTTCCATGTCTAAGATTGGCGTCAAATCGCTTGAAATCTCCACTTGCAAATTCCACAAAAAGTGTTTTTCAAAACTGCTCTGAATAAAGGAAGGTTCCACTCTGTGAGTTGAATACACACAACACAAAGGATTTACTGAGAATTCTTCTGTCTAGCAGTAAATGAGAAATCCCGCTTCCAACGAAGGCCTCAAAGGGGTCTAACTAATCACTTGCAGACTTTACAGACAGAGTCTTTCCAAACTGCTCTATGAAGAGAAAGGTGAAACTCTCTGAACTGAACGGACAGATAACAAAGCAGTTTCTGAGAATGATTCTGTGTAGTTTTGACACGAAGATATTTCCATTTCAAAGATTAGCCTCAAGTCGCTTGAAATCTCCACTTGCAAATTCCACAGAAAGAATTTTTCAAAACTGCTCTGTCTAAAAGAAGGTTCAACTCTGTGACTTGAATACACACAACACAAAGAAGTGACTGAGAATTCTTCTGTCTAGCATTATATGAAGAAATCCCGTTTCCAACGAAGGCCTCAATGAAGTCCAAAAAAGCAATTGCAGGCTTTACAAACAGAGTGTTTCCAAACTGCGCTATGAAAAGAAAGGTTAAACTTTGTGAGTTGAACGCACACATCACAAAGTAGTTGTTGAGAATGATTCTGTGCAGTTTTTATACGAAGATATTTCCTTTTCTGCCATAGGCCTAGAATCGCTTGATATCTGCACTTGCAAATTCCAAAAACAGAGTGTTTCAACTCTGCTCTCTCTAAAGAAAGGTTCAACTCTGTGAGTTGAATACACACAACACAAAGAAGTTACTGAGAATTCTTCTGTCTAGCGTTGTATGAAGAAATCCCGTTTCCAACGAAGGCCTCAAAGAGGTCCAAATATCCACTTGCAGATTTTACAAATAGAGTGTTTCCAAACTGCTCTATGAAAAGAAAGGTTAAACTGTGAGTTTAACGCACACATCACAAAGTAGTTGTTGAGAATGATTCTGTGTACTTTTAATATGAAGACATTTCCATGTCTAAGATTGGCATCAAATCGCTTGAAATCTCCACTTGCAAATTCCACAAAAAGTGTTTTTCAAAACTGCTCTGAATAAAGGAAGGTTCCACTCTGTGAGTTGAATACACACAACACAAAGGATTTACTGAGAATTCTTCTGTCTAGCAGTAAATGAGAAATCCCGCTTCCAACGAAGGCCTCAAAGGGGTCTAACTAATCACTTGCAGACTTTACAGACAGAGTCTTTCCAAACTGCTCTATGAAGAGAAAGGTGAAACTCTGTGAACTGAACGCACAGATGACAAAGCAGTTTCTGAGAATGATTCTGTGTAGTTTTTACACGAAGATATTTCCATTTCAAAGATTAGCCTCAAATCGCTTGAAATCTCCACTTGCAAACTCCACAGAAAGAATTTTTCAAAACTGCTCTGTCTAAAGGAAGGTTCAACTCTGTGACTTGAATACACACAACACAAAGAAGTGACTGAGAATTCTTCTGTCTAGCATTATATGAAGAAACCCCGTTTCCAACGAAGGCCTCAATGAAGTCCAAAAAAGCACTTGCAGGCTTTACAAACAGAGTGTTTCCAAACTGCTCTATGAAAAGAAAGGTTAAACTCTGTGAGTTGAACGCACACATCACAAAGTAGTTGTTGAGAATGATTCTGTGTAGTTTTTATACGAAGATATTTCCTTTTCTGCCATAGGCCTAGAAGCGCTTGAAATCTGAACTTGCAAATTCCAAAAACAGAGTGTTTCAACTCTGCTCTCTCTAAAGAAAGGTTCAACTCTGTGAGTTGAATACACACAACACAAAGAAGTTACTGAGAATTCTTCTGTCTAGCGTTGTATGAAGAAATCCCGTTTCCAACGAAGGCCTCAATGAAGTCCAAAAAAGCACTTGCAGGCTTTACAAACAGAGTGTTTCCAAACTGCTCTATGAAAAGAAAGGTTAAACTCTGTGAGTTGAACACACACATCACAAAGAGTTTTCTGAGAATGATTTTGTCTACTTTTAATACGAAGATATATCCTTTTCTATCACTGTCTTCGAAGCGTTTGAAATCTACACTAGCAAATTCCACAAAAAGAGTGTTTCACTTCTGCTCCCTCTAAAGAAAGGTTCAACTCTGTGAGTTGAATACACACAACACAAAGAAGTTACTGAGAATTCTTCTGTCTAGCGTTATATGAAGAAATCCCGTTTCCAACGAAGGCCTCAAAGAGGTCCAAATATCCACTTGCAGACTTTACAAATAGAGTGTTTCCAAACTGCTCTATGAAAAGAAAGCTTAAACTCTGTGAGATGAAGGCACACATCACAAACTAGTTTCTGCGAATGACTCTGTGTACTTTTAATACGAAGATGTTTCCATGTCTAAGATTGGCGTGAATTCGCTTGAAATCTCCACTTGCAAATTCCACAAAAAGAGTGTTTCAAAACTGCTCTGAATAAAGGAAGGTTCCACTCTGTGAGTTGAATACACACAACACAAAGGATTTACTGAGAATTCTTCTGTCTAGCAGTAAATGAAAAAATCCCGCTTCCAACGAAGTCCTCAAAGGGGTCCAAGTAATCACTTGCAGACTTTACAGACAGAGTCTTTCCAAACTGCTCTATGAAAAGAAAGGTGGAACTCTGTGAGCTGAACGCACACATAACAAAGCAGTTTCTGAGAATGATTCTGTGTAGTTTTTACACGAAGATATTTCCATTTCAAAGATTAGCCTCAAATCGCTTGAAATCTCCACTTGCAAATTCCACAGAAAGAGTTTTTCAAAACTGCTCTGTGTAAAGGAAGGTTCAACTCTGTGACTTGAATACACACAACACAAAGAAGTTACTGAGAATTCTTCTCTCTAGCATTATAAGAGGAAATCCCGTTTCCAACGAAGGGCTCATAGAGGGACAATTATCCAGCTGCAGACTTACAAAGAGTGTATTTCCAAACTGCTCGATTAAAGAAATGTTAAACTCTGTGAGTTGAACACACACATCACAAGGTGTTTTCTGAGAATGATTTTGTCTAGTTTTAATACGAAGATATATCCTTTTCTATCACTGTCTTCGAAGCGTTTGAAATCTGCACTAGCAAATTCCACAAACAGAGTGTTTCAACTCTGCTCTCTCTCAAGAAAGGTTCAACTCTGTGAGTGGAATACACACAACACAAAGAAGTTACTGAGAATTCTTCTGTCTAGCGTTATATGAAGAAATCCCGTTTCCAACGAAGGCCTCAAAGAGGTCCAAATATCCACTTGCAGACTTTACAAATAGAGTGTTTCCAAACTGCTCTATGAAAAGAAAGGTTAAACTCTGTGAGTTGAAGGCACACATCACAAACTAGTTTCTGCGAATGACTCTGTGTACTTTTAATATGAAGATTTTTCCATGTCTAAGATTGGCGTCAAATCGCTTGAAATCTCCACTTGCAAATTCCACAAAAAGAGTGTTTCAAAACTGCTCTGAATAAAGGAAGGTTCCACTCTGTGAGTTGAATACACACAACACAAAGGATTTACTGAGAATTCTTCTGTCTAGCAGTAAATGAGAAATCCCGCTTCCAACGAAGGCCTCAAAGGGGTCTAACTAATCACTTGCAGACTTTACAGACAGAGTCTTTCCAAACTGCTCTATGAAGAGAAAGGTGAAACTCTGTGAACTGAACGCACAGATGACAAAGCAGTTTCTGAGAATGATTCTGTGTAGTTTTTACACGAAGATATTTCCATTTCAAAGATTAGCCTCGAATCGCTGGAAATCTCCACTTGCAAACTCCACAGAAAGAATTTTTCAAAACTGCTCTGTCTAAAGGAAGGTTCAACTCTGTGACTTGAATACACACAACACAAAGAAGTGACTGAGAATTCTTCTGTCTAGCATTATATGAAGAAATCCCGTTTCCAACGAAGGCCTCAATGAAGTCCAAAAAAGCACTTGCAGGCTTTACAAACAGAGTGTTTCCAAACTGCTCTATGAAAAGAAAGGTTAAACTCTGTGAGTTGAACGCACACATCACAAAGTAGTTGTTGAGAATGATTCTGTGTAGTTTTTATACGAAGATATTTCCTTTTCTGCCATAGGCCTAGAAGCGCTTGAAATCTGCACTTGCAAATTCCAAAAACAGAGTGTTTCAAATCTGCTCTCTCTAAAGGAAGGTTCAAATCTGTGTGTTGAATACAAACAACACAAAGAAGTTACTGAGAATTCTTCTGTCTAGCGTTATATGAAGAAATCCCGTTTCCAACGAAGGCCTCAAAGAGGTCCAAATATCCACTTGCAGACTTTACAAAGAGAGTGTTTCCAAACTGCTCTATGAAAAGAAAGGTTAAACTCCGTGAGTTGAAGGCACACATCACAAACTAGTTTCTGCGAATGACTCTGTGTACTTTTAATACGAAGATGTTTCCATGTCTAAGATTGGCGTGAATTCGCTTGAAATCTCCACTTGCAAATTCCACAAAAGGAGTGTTTCAAAACTGCTCTGAATAAAGGAAGGTTCCACTCTGTGAGTTGAATACACACAACACAAAGGATTTACTGAGAATTCTTCTGTCTAGCAGTAAATGAAAAAATCCCGCTTCCAACGAAGTCCTCAAAGGGGTCCAAGTAATCACTTGCAGACTTTACAGACAGAGTCTTTCCAAACTGCTCTATGAAAAGAAAGGTGGAACTCTGTGAGCTGAACGCACACATAACAAAGCAGTTTCTGAGAATGATTCTGTGCAGTTTTTACACGAAGATATTTCCATTTCAAAGATTAGCCTCAAATCGCTTGAAATCTCCACTTGCAAATTCCACAAAAAGAGTGTTTCAAAACTGCTCTGAATAAAGGAAGGTTCAACTCTGTGAGTTGAATACACCCAACACAAAGGATTTAATGAGAATTCTTCTGTCTAGCAGTAAATGAAAAAATCCCGCTTCCAACGAAGTCCTCAAAGGGGTCCAAGTAATCACTTGCAGACTTTACAGACAGAGTCTTTCCAAACTGCTCTATGAAAAGAAAGGTGGAACTCTGCGAGCTGAACGCACACATAACAAAGCAGTTTCTGAGAATGATTCTGTGTAGTTTTCACACGAAGATATTTCCATTTCAAAGATTAGCCTGAAATCCCTTGAAATCTCCACTTGCAAATTCCACAGAAAGAGTTCTTCAAAACTGCTCTGTGTAAAGGAAGGTTCAACTGTGTGACTTGAATACACACAACACAAAGAAGTGACTGAGAATTCTTCTGTCTAGCATTATAAGAGGAAATCCCGTTTCCAACGAAGGGCTCATAGAGGGACAATTATCCAGCTGCAGACTTACAAAGAGTGTATTTCCAAACTGCTCGATTAAAGAAAGGTTAAACTCTGTGAGTTGAACACACACATCACAAAGTGTTTTCTGAGAATGATTTTGTCTAGTTTTAATATGAAGATATATCCTTTTCTATCACTGTCTTCGAAGCGTTTCAAATCTGCACTAGCAAATTCCACAAACAGAGTGTTTCAACTCTGCTCTCTCTCAAGAAAGGTTCAACTCTGTGAGTGGAATACACACAACACAAAGAAGTTACTGAGAATTCTTCTGTCTAGCGTTATATGAAGAAATCCCGTTTCCAACGAAGGCCTCAAAGAGGTCCAAATATCCACTTGCAGACTTTACAAATAGAGTGTTTCCAAACTGCTCTATGAAAAGAAAGGTTAAACTCTGTGAGTTGAAGGCACACATCACAAACTAGTTTCTGCGAATGACTCTGTGTACTTTTAATACGAAGATGTTTCCATGTCTAAGATTGGCGTGAATTCGCTTGAAATCTCCACTTGCAAATTCCACAAAAAGAGTGTTTCAAAACTGCTCTGAATAAAGGAAGGTTCCACTCTGAGAGTTGAATACACACAACACAAAGGATTTACTGAGAATTCTTCTGTATAGCAGTAAATGAAAAAATCCCGCTTCCAACGAAGTCCTCAAAGGGGTCCAAGTAATCACTTGCAGACTTTACAGACAGAGTCTTTCCAAACTGCTCTATGAAAAGAAAGGTGGAACTCTGTGAGCTGAACGCACACATAACAAAGCAGTTTCTGAGAATGATTCTGTGTAGTTTTTACACGAAGATATTTCCATTTCAAAGATTAGCCTCAAATCGCTTGAAATCTCCACTTGCAAATTCCACAGAAAGAGTTTTTCAAAACTGCTCTGTGTAAAGGAAGGTTCAACTCTGTGACTTGAATACACACAACACAAAGAAGTGACTGAGAATTCTTCTGTCTAGCATTATATGAGGAAATCCCGTTTCCAACGAAGGGCTCAAAGAGGGCCAATTATCCACCTGCAGACTTACAAAGAGTGTATTTCCAAACTGCTCGATTAAAGAAAGGTTAAACTCTGTGAGTTGAACACACACATCACAAAGTGTTTTCTGAGAAGGATTTTGTCTAGTTTTAATACGAAGATATATCCTTTGCTATCACTGTCTTCGAAGCGTTTGAAATCTGCACTAGCAAATTCCACAAAAAGAGTGTTTCAACTCTGCTCTCTCTCAAGAAAGGTTCAACTCTGTGAGTTGAATACACACAACACAAAGAAGTTACTGAGAATTCTTCTGTCTAGCGTTATATGAAGAAATCCCGTTTCCAACGAAGGCCTCAAAGAGGTCCAAATATCCACTTGCAGACTTTAGAAATAGAGTGTTTCCGAACTGCTCTATGAAAAGAAAGGTTAAACTCCGTGATTTGAAGGCACACATCACAAACTAGTTTCTACGAATGACTCTGTGTACTTTTAATATGAAGATATTTCCATGTCTAAGATTGGCGTCAAATCGCTTGAAATCTCCACTTGCAAATTCCACAAAAAGAGTGTTTCAAAACTGCTCTGAATAAAGGAAGGTTCCACTCTGTGAGTTGAATACACACAACACAAAGGATTTACTGAGAATTCTTCTGTCTAGCAGTAAATGGGAAATCCCGCTTCCAACGAAGGCCTCAAAGGGGTCTAACTAATCACTTGCGGACTTTACAGACAGAGTCTTTCCAAACTGCTCTATGAAGAGAAAGGTTAAACTCTGTGAACTGAACGCACAGATAACAAAGCAGTTTCTGAGAATGATTCTGTGTAGTTTTTACACGAAGATATTTCCATTTCAAAGATTAGCCTCAAATCGCTTGAAATCTCCACTTGCAAATTACACAGAAAGAATTTTTCAAAACTGCTCTGTCTAAAGTAAGGTTCAACTCTGTGACTTGAATACACACAACACAAAGAAGTGACTGAGAATTACTCTGTCTAGCATTATATGAAGAAATCCCGTTTCCAACGAAGGCCTCAATGAAGTCCAAAAAAGCACCTGCAGGCTTTACAAACAGAGTGTTTCCAAACTGCCCTATGAAAAGAAAGTTTAAACTCTGTGAGTTGAACGCACACATCACAAAGTAGTTGTTGAGAATGATTCTGTGTAGTTTTTATACGAAGATATTTCCTTTTCTGCCATAGGCCTAGAATCGCTTCAAATCTGCACTTGCAAATTCCAAAAACAGAGTGTTTCAACTCTGCTCTCTCTAAAGAAAGGTTCAACTCTGTGAGTTGAATACACACAACACAAAGAAGTAACTGAGAATTCTTCTGTCTAGCGTTGTATGAAGAAATCCCGTTTCCAACGAAGGCCTCAAAGAGGTCCAAATATCCACTTGCAGACTTTACAAATAGAGTGTTTCCCAACTGCTCTATGAAAAGAAAGGTTAAACTCTGTGAGTTGAAGGCACACATCACAAACTAGTTTCTACGAATGAC